>NC_000010.11:51961277-52112792 GCF_000001405.40 Homo sapiens | reverse complement strand
CTATTCTTTGCCAGAAGGCTCTTATGCTTACAGCTGCTTAGAGGTAAATGTCATGACCAAGCTGGCCAATCAAATTCTGTTTAGGGATAACTGGGAATCAGGGACACTTGTATTTAAGGACAAGTCAAAACCTGAGAGCTTTGGCTGAAAGCTCTCACAGGAATAGAAAAAGCAGAGAAAACAGGTCTGGAACAAGAAAGAATGAGAGATGTTAACAGAAAAGCTGAGATGAGAGAAAGAATCCTATGTGTTTTCAATGGATTTATTGGTGCTCATTATAATTTTTGAGAGTTTCAAGATATCTTATGAACCTTGGGTCCATGAAATACCTCATTACCCATCTAATATGGTCCCTTTATGAGTCACACTAGATTGAATTGGGCTTTGTAATTAACAATCAAAGTATAACTATTAACGTATATGCTACAGATGCCTATCTCCATTTTTCAGTTGGAGGAAACTGAAGCTCCAGAAGTTTATGTAAGAATCACAAAATAATTATAATACAAGAGAGAAAAGTTATAAATTCCACAAGCTAAGTATTTATGAAGGGATCTGGAAAGAACATAAACTGCATTCAGGTAGAAACCTTAGGAGTGAGTATGTGAAAAAGGAGATATTGACCAGATTTTAAAATACTGATAGAATCTGTTTGTAGTGATAGAAGGAAGATTATTCTAAATAGTGGGGGCAACCTGAATGATGGCGTGTGTTGAGAGGTTCACTTTTGCTGGAAGCAGGTTGGCTTCAGGGTATATGGAAGGCTCAGTCAGAAAGATGGTCTACAGTCAGGCTTCAGCAGGCAGAGAATAGAAGGCTGTGATGTTAGAATATTTTAATCCTTTATTTAAAGACAGGCACTATCATAAGCTTTAAGAAGACCCCTCTGCTAATGTTAAGTAGTATGCGAGAAGAAGAAAGATATGGGAAGAGCACTTAGGAATTCAATGAGATGATAAACAGAGCCCAAAGAAGTAACTCCTCAAGATTCATAATGTCTTCATTAAGCAAGTAAATTGTCTGCTTCAGTAGAATGTCCTACCAACAACCCTCCACAAAGTTATAAGCAGTGAACTCAACACTGCACAAAGTGTCTCCAGGAAACTTCAGTGTGGAAACATTTCACCTTGATCCCCAAGAACAAACTATTTATATCTAGAGAAAGACTAAAATTAGATAGGATTAAAGCATTCTCACTGACATACACAATCCAGATCATACGTCATAATCTAACAACCCAAATTTTATTTAAATTATCTGTTAATGTCAAAGCAATGGAATGGTTAAAACACTAATAGCTATGATGTTTGCTAAGCAATTTTAATAAGAGTAGAGAAACATCACAATATGTACTACATTTTCTTATCTACAAATCCTATAATACTGAGTAAAAATGTCAACAAAGGCTGTCATTACATTGCCAATGGAGCAAAATTGTTAAAACGAAGTGTTAGTATAATAGCTGACATTTTTGTGTATTTAGTATGTGCTAGGCACTGTGCCATGTGCTGTACATAGATTGTTTAATTTAAAGAAGATGTATGTGAAATTGCTTCTCCAAAATACTTTCCCTACCACTTTTTTTCCACTTCCATCTGCAACTTTCTATCTTGTGTGATGAAAAGCCTGTGGGCAGAGGACTCCAACATACTCTGTTCTGGATCCTTTTTTTAAGTAAGATAAATAAATTATTTGATCTCATTGTGCCTAGATTTACCTATCGGTAAAAATGGGACTATAATTTCTACATTGTAGAGAGATAAGATTCAATGAGATAATCTAAATGGAGATCTCTGGGAAAACTCTGGTATTTGGCATTGGTGAACATTTCTTGGCCATGGTTAGTTAGGTACTTTCTCAGTCCAATGGATACATTTCTGCTTGGGCACTTTTCTTTCTTAGATAATTTACCCTTCCTAAGAGGATGGCCATTCTACCTAGCCCTGGAACATGCAGTTCTGCACGCAGTTGGTCACACAAAGTAGCAACACGGCAGCTATGACTATGACAGACGAATGATCATAAAGTGGTACCAACTATGTGAATAATCTATTGAGCAATCAAGCTGTTTGTGCTTTACGGATACTATGTTGCATGCAACTAAACACTTCTCTCTTTGCACTGTTTGCTGGGAAGCATAGCTCTAAACTATGTCTCGGCTCTAAAAAGCAAACTGGATCTCCCAGAAAAGAGTGTGGTATTGGTCTCATTCTCTTTTCCTATCTTCCCTCCCTGCCTCTGCACAACATGCCTCAATTTCTCAATTGAGAAAAAAATTTTCTCAATATTTTTCTGAGGGTACTGATCTTTCTTCCTCCTGCCTCCATCTTTCTAAAAACAAAAGACACACAAAAATATGTGATGGGCATGTTCCCAATAGAGTACAAAAAGAGATCTACACGTGCATCCTCAACCTGGAATCAGGTCTTGGTTTCATCTTTTTTTATTTCTTATTTTTTCTGAGATGGAGTCTCGCACTTTCACGCAGGCTGGAGTGCAGTGGCGCGATCTCCGCTCACTGCAAGCACGCCATTCTCCTGCCTCAGCCTCCCGAGTAGCTGGGACTACAGGCACCCGCCACCACGCCTGGCTAATTTTTTGTATTTTTAGTAGAGACGGGGTTTCACCATGTTAGCCAGGATGGTCTCAATCTCCTGACCTCGTGATCCGCCCGCCTCGGCCTCCCAAAGTGCTAGGATTACTACAGGCGTGAGCCACGGCGCCCGGCCTAGAATCAGGTCTTCTAAAGAGTGTTGAGTAGCACCTTCCCAGTGAGCATCTGGTACATCATGACCCTGATCTTTGCACTGTTACAATGACTTTACAATGTCAAGGCTCACAGCTCGGGAATTGAGAAGTGGGAAGTGGTGTGATACAGGACATGGCCCGGGAAGATGAGGAACCACCATCCAAAGTCAAGTAAAGCTCTTTGACACTGCTATATATGACCTATGTAAGGCAGTGATATTATTATTATTGTTGTTATTGTTTTTAACACATAAAGTCATTTTTGAGATAAGATTTTTTTTTGAGATGGAGTCTGGCTCTGTCACCCAGGCTGGAGTGCAGTGGCGTGATGTCGTCTCACTGCCGACATCACTGAGTTCAAGTGATTCTCCTGCCTCAGCCTCCTGAGTAGCTGGGATTACAGGCACATGCCACCACTCCCAGCTAATTTTTGTATTTTTAGTAGGGATGGGGTGTCACTATGTTGGCCAGGCTGGTCTTGAACTCCTGACCTCAGGTGATCTGCCCACCTCGGCCTCCCGAAGTGTTGGGATTACAGGCGTGAGCCACCACGCCCAGCCAAACATTTTACATCTAAATAAATGGTGGATATTTATTAATTTTTTTCTTTGACCAGTTAAGAGAAGTCAAACCCTGTATTTTCCTAACCAAGAAAATAAGCATGAAGAAATAAGCTGGTTTTACGCCTTTGATTTAATATGGACATTCCTAGAAGCTGCATGTGTTCTTTTAGAAAAATGCGGGTTAAGTAGGGGGAAGAAAGTATATCCAAATTTTATGTTTCAGAAAATAATGTGGTTTCAGCAATCTGCCTAGTATATTTCTAAATGACATTCTTGGTTATATTCCTAGCCACTCCCCCGCTGAGACCTGTGATGACTTTCAGAGTATAAGGTGATGCCAATAAATCCTTGTTGAAGGCCTGGCGCAGTGGCTCACACCTGTAATCCCAGCACTTTGGGAGGCCGAGGCAGGTGGATAATGAGGTCAGGAGTTCAAGACCAGCCTGGCCAATATGGTGAAACCCAGTCTCTACTAAAAATACAAAAATTAGCTGGGTATGGTGGCTCTCCCCTATAGTCCCAGCTACTCAGGAGGCTGAGGCAGGAGAATCACTTGAATCTGGGAGGCAGTAGGTTGCAGTGAGCTGAGATTGCGCCACTGCACTCCAACTTGGGCGACAGAGCGACACTCCATCTCAAAAAAAAAAAAAAAAAAAGGAATACTTGTTCTCCCAGGTTAATAAAAATTCTACTTTTGACACCTTTAGTATCATCGCAATAGCTATCTAACAAAGAAGAGGAAAATTTTGTTAATAGATTATGTACATTTTCAAAAGACAGGTTTTTTTGTAATAACAGAATATAAGCTGTAGAATGAACCAGTGTTAGGATTTTTTACTTAGAATAATTTAGTGAACAACATCATAAGAGGAATAAACTAGGTGTTGTTTTCCTTGATTATTTATAGTATACTGAAAGAGAAATGAGAGGCCACATTTTACATGACACAGCAAAATGCGATTCACTTGGGCAGTGATACTTGGACTCACTCCTAAGCAAGCCACACTTAGGTATCTTTGACAGGTCATTGTTTGAATATGAAACAAGAGCAGGGTTGCTACCCTGTCATCATGGTGTACATCACTGGAAGCCAGGCAGAGTTCCCTGAAAAAAACATGTAGACATGAATTTCTCAAAAGGTTATGTCACTAACTATCATACAGATTGAAAGCCATTACTTCTGGCATACCTGTGACATCCTTGGTATAATTTCACTGTGTGATGTACATGTCAACATCTTACATCCTCTTTAAGAATTTAAAGAGAGAAGGATGAAATATGAGTGGGAACATATATGGGATCAGAAAAACTGGAGTCAATATTTGTATTCCTCTCCAAAACAGTTTTGAGATATCAGGCTGTCATTTAACCTCTCTGAGTTTTCATATTTCTTTGTGAAATTAGGATAATATATATTTAAATATTTACCCAATGTCTATATATGTGCATGCGTGTGTATAATTTGAAAATAAATGGAAAGATTCTAAAATAACCACTAGAAATCAAACATGCCATATTGTATCAATTCAGTTATTTCATGACACATTTTACCATGTTGGCACAGGCTAGGTGATTATGCCAACTATACTCTATTTCACAAAGTTAATCATACCTTCTTTCTTATTTACTGACTCTAAACTGTAATTAAAGCAGTAAGTAGCAGAATTTTTGGACTGAAAAATAATACTAAAAGGCAACATTGGAAAGCGACACATTGGTAGTGAAAATCCATGGCCCATAGACACATAAGGGCCTGAGCTTCATTACCTTAAATAATAAGAATTTGTGAAAACATTGTCATCTGTTAGTTAAGCTGTTGCTTCTTTTTAAGATCTTTTAGATCTATTTAGGGCATTGAGACAGGAGACAAAGTGCAACATTTTTAAAGTTCAAGTGATTATTTACAGAGATTATTGCAGAAGAAACGTGTAATAATGTTGTGCATATTATAAATATTTTGAGACATTGTGGAGGTTGAACAAAGTTTCCCAAATGACTCTCACTGCTCAGCAGGCTTTATATAAAAATGTCATTCCTTAGATGCTCGATCTCATTTAAGAATTTATAATATTTAAATTAATAATTTAGATTTTATTATACATTTAGTTTCTTGACTGTTGTTTAGCAATTAAAATACAGCAGAACAGAGGACTACAATCTTTTCCCATGTTTTAGGTCTTTGTCTAAAATGTACTTCTTTCTCAAAAGAGGATTTTTGAGGTAACCCTTCCATTGGTTTACCCAAGCTGAGAGGATATTTCTCCCCTTCTGGGTAACATCTTGTTCTGGTCATTCTATTGGTTAGGAAATGGCTTCCTTCATGTTTCTATGACAAAATGGTCAGACACTGCTGCTTTAACTGCATCCACTCTAGGCTCTTGAGAACTCACTCATAGCCAGTCTCTCCAGTGAAACTTGATCTGCCTCCTCTGATTCTCACTGACTATGGAGGATCAGGACATCCCATGACATTTAAAGATAAAGCAAAGCTTCCTAACCACACACACACATAAATGTGACAAGATCAGCTGTGCAAGTATTTTGTTACTAACCATAGCTGAAGGGTGCTTTAGAATAATTTATCTGAAAATATATAGAAACTAGAATCACATGAGAAATATCACTATAATAAAGGCACTCTCATTATGTGTCATTACAATTTGCTTTTTTGAATTGAAAATAAATGGGAGAAACAATCAGGAACAAGAACTCAACATTTTTATTTATTTACTTTATTATTATTATTATTATTATTATTATTATTATTATTATTATTTTGGGACAGAGTCTCGCTCTGCTGCCCAGGCTGGAGTGCAGTGGCGCGATCTCGGCTCACTGCAAGCTCCACCTCCCGGAATAACTCAACATTTATACTGCATGTCTTAATGCTTCCCATGAGGACCATCTGTGATTTGTGTCACTGGAGGACAAAACCATGAAGTGCTGGCCTAAAGTACATGATCTAGTAACTTGCTTAACATGCTGTGCGATGCTGTTCCCGAAGGATTTAATATACATAAGTTACTGTTCTCACCAACCTGTGAGTTTCTGGAGGAAAAGGTTGCCAGAGGTAGTACGTAAAAATACAGATTTTGCAAATATCACATCGGACACACTTACAGTAACAAAACTGTTCACTGTTTATCTGACATTGAAATTTAACTGGATGTCCTATGTTCTATTTGGCAACCCCGGTCTAGAAACAAGTCATGCCAAATAGTTTTTGGTTTTGTTTTCCAACATCTCCAACAGGTCCAATTCAGTGCTGGACACCTGGAAGGCCTTCATTAAGTACTTGTGAATTGACAGTTTGGAGACTCTGTTATTTTATTGCTATTTTTAAAATAAGCATTCTGGGTGGAGTTGGAGACTATTATTTTAAGTGAAGTAACTCGGGAATGGAAAATCAAACATCACATGTTCTCACATAGAAGCAGGAGCTAAGCTATGAGGATGCAAAGGCATAAGAAGGATACAATGAACTTTGGGGACTCAGTGGGAAGAGTGGGAGGGGAGTGGGGGGATAAAAGACTACACATTTGGTACAGTGTACACTGCTTGAGTGATGGGTGCACCAAAATCTCAGAAATCACCACTAAAGAACGTATCCATGTAACCAAAAACCACCTGTCTCCCAAAAAACTATTGAAATAAAAAAAAATAAAAGAAGCATTGAAAAGAAACAAATTTCAGAGGGTAGAGAGTTGGGGGAGGGACAACATCAGGAAAAATAACTAAAGAGTACTAAGCTTAATACCTGGATGATGAAATAATCTGTACAACAAACCCCCATGACACAAGTTTACTTACGTAACGAACCTGCACTTGTACCCCTGAACTTAAAAGTTTAAAAAAAACTAAAAAGGTATTAACTTTGAAAAAAAATAAATAAAAGTGCAAGTTCACTTCTCCGAAAGATTTCAAAGATAAACTAAGGGGAGAGTTAGGGCTCCATTCTACACGCCCTCTGCAGTCCGGCATAGCACCTTACTACATTCTGCAAAGCCAAGGATAATTTAGCAACATGATGCCTTAATTCTACGTGGCCCTTCAGGGTTATTATCGCTTCCTTAACACAGGGTAAGTTTCAAAATCAGTCAAGTTTATCTCTTACCAACTTCTTGGAGATGTGTTTACAAAGAACCAACTGTAAAACGCAAGTAATCCAGCGACCTAAAAACTATAACATAAAGTATTTTTACAGACATCATATAATTTCTGCTTCCTTCTGGAACTGGAGACAATTTGGACCCATATATGTGTTTCTTCCAATTGGTAATAAAAAAAAAAACAGTTGTCTCTTAATTTCACCAAACAATAAAGCAACCATCTACTTTGCACATAAATTCGGTAAGTTCTTCCTTTTAAGATTTTAAGAAACTATGAATGAGAAAAGGCTTCTTTTCAATGATTCTTAAAATAGCATCTGCGTGGCCTCTGTTAGTTGTCCATTATATTTATTGTCTAATTTTTTAAAACTACAATTAATACAGATCAAAAGAAAGCAAATCCCACCTCTAGTCAAATGAAATTGAAAATATGTTTATTTCCCCGCATTCTTTCACGAAAGTAAAGGAAAATATTACACATTTGTGGCTGGATTGTGAAAAATCAAAAGATTCACAAATGGGTAGGTAGAACAGTTAAATTCCAAAAAGGTTGATATGCCTTATTTTTATCAGGTTACGTGCCACTGATAGGGTAGCATAAATTAATAGAGTAATTAATATGATAATGTGTCTTAGTTCATAAAGAAATAGGATGTTTTCAATTCTTGAACTATATCTTAAAGACAGAAAATCTTTTAGGATTTCAGGCTTGGAAAGATTATTTATATATCATTTAGTCCATCTCTTTGCACCATGTATGTATTCCATCTTTTGAGGTAAACCTATGTGCCAAATAGTTGAAAGTTTCAGCAGAGGTGGCCTTATTCATGACTTCCTTTTTCTATCCTCCACAGTGATAACAATTTTTTTTTTTCAGAACAAATTTAAGACCTCAGCAAATGATAACTGTCATTTCACCAGATAAAGGATTAAGTAACACTGAAAGGTACTGGGTATGCATTTATCTGGATATCATCTTTCAATGTAAGCATTGTATAGAAATAAGGCCACATCAGTTTTTAAAGGCCCTAAATGACTTCCTTTTTATCTTACAATATAGTCTCTAACAATTAAAATATCATTATTAAAGAATGCAGTAAGTTAAATGCATTTTATCTATTACTTTATTGAAATCCATTTGGTGGCTAAAATGACGTTTAACAGTAAATTAATGTATTCCTATGTACATAAAATAAGAAGATTTATATGCTAAAAAGTAAATATAAAATTATAGCCATCATTTAATCATTTGTTCAGATAGGACAGCTAAAAATCAGGATTTATATTTAATTTTAAATGTAATTAATTCTAAGCTAAAATAAACTATGAGATATATATATATCTCATTATATATATATATATATTATATATACACACACACACACATGAAGTCATAATAGAAGAGAGCTCATTTGGTCACAGAATTAAGGGCTGATTTTAATTTCATTGTTTTTCTTGACTCTGAGAAATATCTAATAGGATATATAAATCCAAAGATTTGTATCTTATTGACTTAACTGTTGACTTAAAACTAATTACCCCTTTGCTGCTATTTCATACAAAGAAAACAATGAGGCTTTCAAGCTTATTTAGTCTTCCTTAATTAAAATTATTATTATTTCTCCTCAACAACATATATATACAGTTGACCTCTGAACAACACAGGGGTTGGAGTGCCAATCCCCTGTGCAGTAGAAAATCCACATATATCTTTTGACTCCTCAAAATTTAACTACTAATAGACTGCTGTTGATGAGAAGCCTTACCTATAGCAAAGTTATTAATACTTCTTGTATATATTATATGTGTCACATACTGTATTCTTACAAGAAAGTAAGCTAGAGAAAAAATGCTGTTAAAGTCATAAAGAAAAGAAAATATAGTTACTAATTCCTTAAGTGAAAGTGGATCATTATAAAGGTCTTCATCTTCATCATCTTCACATTGATTAGGCTGAGGGGGAGGAAGGAGAGGGGCTGATAATGCTGTCTCTGGGTGGCAGAGCTAGAAGAGGTAGAGGATGGAGAAGAGGAGGCAGGAGAGGCAGGCACAGTGTAACTTTATGGAAATACATTGTAATTTCTGTCTGACTTTTTTGATTTTTCCTTTCTCTAAAAATGTTTCTATGTGGCAGTGGTCCCCAAACTTTTTGGCACCAGGGACATGAAGACAATTTTTCCATGAATGGGTCAGGATGGGGGGCATGGGATTGGGGTTAATTTAGAGATAAAACTGTTCCACCTCAGATCATTAGGCATTAGATTCTCATAAGGAACACACAGCCTAGATCCCTCGCATGTGCAGTTCAAAATAGGGTTTGTGCTCCTATAAGAATCTAATGCCATCTCTGATCTGACAGGAGGTGGAGCTCAAGCAGTAATGCTCACTCACCTGCTGCTCACCTCCTGCTGTGTGGTCTGGTTCCTAACAGGCCACAGATCAGTAACAGTCCATGGCCCAGGAGTTGGGGACCCCAGCTATATGGTACCAGTTCTCTCACCATTTGCTTTCATGCCCATATCATAGAATGGTCTATGTCATAAAATAATTCAAAAGCAGTCTTTAGTAAGTGGAAATCTTCTGCCAGATTGTCTAATGTCAATTTGTTTTCTGGCACTGCGTCTATGTCTTCCTCATTGTCTGACACTGGCTCCAAAGTACTCATCTCCATCAAGTCATCTTCTGTTAAATCCTCTGGTGTGTTGTCTGTTAGCTCTTGAATGTCTCCAAGATCCCTATCTTGAAACCCCTTACCTCCCACCAATTTTTTTTTCTTTTTTTTGCCATATCCACAGTCTCTTTCATGATTTTCGTGATTGGCTCAGTCACAGATCCTATGAATTCATGCACAACATCTAGACCGTTTCCTCCAGCAGAAATTTGTTGTTTTGGGCTTGATGGCTTTCACAGATTTTTCTATAAGGATGACGGCATTTTCACTGGTGAAATCCTTCCAGATGCTTATGATGTTCCCTCTGCAGAGATTCTCTTTCAGAGCATTGTCAATTCTTTCCACAGCATATGGTTGTGATGTTTGTGCCTTAAACGTCATGTGACTCCTGGTCTAGAGGCTGAATTAAATATGTTGTGTTTGGGGCAAGGAAACCATATGAAAGCCTTTAATGTTGAACTCATGGGGTTCTGGGTGGCCCAGGGGCATTGTCCAATGTAAACAACAAAAAACAAAACAAAAAAAACTGTAAAAAGGCAGTTGTTTATTGGCTAGGTACTTCCTGACTTCAGGGACAAAGTTTTGATTATGGAACCAATCCAGAAAAGGGGTTCATGTTCTTTAGCCCTTTTTGTTATGCATCCATAAGACTGTCAGCTGATGTTTATCTTTTCCCTTCACCTGAAGGCTTAGGGTTTAGCATCTTTATAGAGAAGGGCAGTCCTGATCATAAACTTGACTTCATTTGCACAAAATAGAGTTAGGCTATTCCTTCCTGCCTTAAGTCCTGGTGCTGACTCCTCTTCTTTACTAATAAATGTCCTTTGTGGACATTTTGGGCTTCCATCATCCAGAACTAAAAGATAATATATTGATGTTACTTTAACCAATTAAATTTGTTGTAATTCATTATACTGGCAATAGGAAACTAATACAACCTCTGTCAATTTCATTCTAGCTCTGGAAGCTACTGGCTAGGTCGCCTTGGCCAAGGTATTTCAACCTGTCTGGGTCTCAGCTGTCTTATTGATAAAATAACCATCTACCTCATAGGGTTGGTCTGAAGACTAAATGAGTCAATACACATGAATTATTTAGATAAGTACTTGGCCCAGTAAGAATTCATTAAATGTTGATTACTATATTACTATTGTTATTAAGTGCCCTGTATTCCTGGAAAACTGATCCTTTGCTTCTTCATTGTTTATATGAATTTATGCAGTATGAATAAGATTTCAAGAAAATCCCTAGGCAATATATGAGTAGGGAAATGTCATTCTAATGACCTGCCTCTACAAAGTCCATGTATTTAAAATGGACTAAATAGGGCTCACAAAAAATATATAATGTGGTTATGGTAAAATTATGTCAAATTCGTATTCCTTAATATTTTTAGGCTGTAAAGTATGGGGCCAACGGATACCTGTCTCTGAAATACTAGCAGTGTTAAAGATATATCAGTGGCCTTTGAAAGCTGTATTTTGTTGTCATAATAAGACAGGAGTTCAACAGAAAAATAAACCTGCTTGCATATTTTCAGATTTTTTTTCAGAAGTATTATAAAAATGCAGAGAGATATGCTGATATGAATTCTGAAAATTAAAAGTAAGCTAAGGAGACAGATTCATCAATATGAATGGCAGGTATATGAACATCCAAATCCTGTAAGATTGTTTGCATATATCCATCAAATTGCCTTGGCCACAGAAATTTTAATAGAACTTCTTTAGACAATCTCTAATGAACACATTCTGGGCAACAAAGCAGAAACACCACAAATGAGAAAGAGCTGAAAACAGCATTGAAAATATTATTTCCTTTAAGCTATGTTTCCTTATGAAAGGAACTTAATCCTTTACTTGTTTTCATAAAACTCCAGTTAGTAATAAAGCAGATATAAATAAGAGGTTGGAAAAAATAAAATGAAGTAAAGGTGATTCACAAATGACAATACCATAGATTCTATGAAACCAACAAAGCAATTTTAACAATTCATCTTGGATAAAGGCTCTCGTTTTGACCATAATTTCACATAAAGTGAGTAGTCTCTTGGCAACAGATATTTCTATTTCTTCTCAGAGGGATAAAGGAAAACTTGCATAGTTGTCAAGGTTTATTAAAACATCATCAATAGGGATCCTCAGGGGCTGGGCTCATCTTAGCTGAATTAGGATCAACAGTAAATCTATAGCATTTAACCCTTCGGTGTGGTGCCAAAGGTCAGCTAACTCGGCAGAAAAACAAATAAAAACGGTTTCATTGTACAGACTGTGCACTGAATTTATTTTAGCATGTAACAAATTAACATCATTCATCACTGTGAGGCCAGGTGGCCATGCTTCTAACTCCACGTAGTCCATTAGTGCTCCTGGAAAACTAGTCAAACACTGCTGCTGATTTTGGACTTGTCTTAACGCTTCCCTAGAGATACAACAGAAGCATTAAAACAAAATCAATTATTAAAATATACTAGCAAGCCCTTCCTTGGCCTCACACCAAAGGGGATTCCTGTCCAGTCTCTTTACATGAGTTCACTGTGCTGGGAGAAGGCTGGAATGGCCCCATGAGACAGGAATCCCTACCCCTCACTGAATTCATTGCTGTCCATAATCCTGGGACAAGATTCAAATCTGAAAGTGCCACTGACATTTTTGGCTTACGAAATCTCTGGAAGGTCTTCATTATTCCCCTGTAAGTAGATTACTCTAAGAATACTAGCATTGTCATCATCGATAATAAAATAAATAAGAATAATGAAATCCAAAGCAGCAGAAGCAGCAGCCATATGCCAAGCACTGTGCCAAATGCATTACAAGCACTCTCCTGTTTAGTTCTTGACTTAGGAGGCAAGTGCCCAAATCTTAATTTGTCCCAATGAGGAAAAGGAGCCTTACAGAATGAAGTCAACTCAGGACTGCGTGGCTATTTAGTGGCAAGCCAGGCTTATACCCTAGGTTTGTGATTCCAAAAGCAACCCTAACAGTATCTAAGTCACTGTGGATGGTAACATCTTATAGATGACCCTGTATCACTTTTTACTTTTGTGTGATGTAGATTGAATTTATACTTTGAACCCACTGTGATCCATCTTTTATTTTCCCCACACATATCTCAAACCCTACTCTCCTACTCCGACCTGTTACCCCTCCCAGGATTACATGTATTTTAAAGAAAAACCATAGAGAAAAGAGGATCCACAATAAGGCCTGTGTCAAAATACTGTGTGACATAGTGTCTTCATAGTTAGAGAATGATGCTAAGACAAAGTGGTCTTTCTAAGACTTATCACAGGGAAAAATCTCTTCCTAGACTCTGATTCTTACAAATTATTCATCTCGTACTTCTGTAAAAGAATGACTCATCGTAACTCTCTTTCAGGACACTTTGGAAGAGCAGTGTTTAAGCGTTTTTTTAAATGTTCTACCATTTTCCTCTCCATTTGATACATATCAAAACTTTCCACTACTACAGGTAGCCACAAGTGAAAGCCAATAAAAAAATGAGATTACACTGTAATTTTACAAACAGATTATCTTTGAAAGTATTCTGTGTAACTGCGGGATTCCATAATTATCTGTACAGAAGCCAACTTGTAACAGTCCAGCTATTTTATGATCCTGCTCTTTTCTTACCATGTCATCCCTTACTAAAATTGTTTAAGAAATATAGCCAAAGAAGATTAAGCTAATTAGAAATTTTTGTTGTTAAATTTCTCTGGTATCTCCCTGGAGTGAATTGCTTCCTTTACCTTCTGCTCATACAGCTTTACATTTGGATTCTTTTATTATAAAGGCATTCATGGAACCAACTAATTATAGTCCCTCATAGGTTTGTTATTTAGATACTTAGACCATTTGAACACATTTCTCACCCACTCATCATAACCACTCACTTTTCAGGGATTGGGAATGAAGGGCTACTCATCCTCCTAACACTCATTTAGGTATCAGCTATTCTTCCCAAATTCCCATTTTCTGATCCAGCCTGGATTAGGCACTCTCCTATGTATTTTCACATTACTTTTGACACTTTCAAAGCTCAAAGCTTCTCATTCTCAATTTTACATTTATACATCTATTTACACATCTATCTCGAACTCCTGACCTCACGTTATCCACCTCTCTCGGCCTCCCCAAGTGCTGGGATTACAGGCGTGAGCCACCGCGCCCGGCCTATTTACACATCTGTCTTTCCTGCTTTTTATTTGTATTGTTTCCCTACATTTTATGCAGTACCTGGATCTCAAAAGTGCTTAATATACATTAGAGAAATGTAAAAGCAACCCTATTCAGGTTATTGCTATAAATCAGCCATGACTCTCTCAAAAAGGGAGTTAAATATTCACTACGCTCCTATAAAACCTCCATCAGTAATTCAGGGACATGTTTACTCAGGATTCATGATAAATTAATGTAATTAGAGGGAACTGTAGAAACTGACTTTACAAGGAACAAAGGGCTATCAAAATGTATTATTTTTGTGAAATGAAAATTATCATAATAAAAAACATTTGTGGTATCTTCTTGACATAGAAATGATTATTGCTTCAGTTATTAAATGAGTATTTTCAGTACATGCTGAATTAACCTACTGTAACATTTTCTTCCTTTTAACTTTGCAACTGCATGGAACTTTTTCTCAACTAAATTTTTTCCTTATTAGACCAAAATTTATGTATTTTATCTTCACATTCTATATGATAAATGTTCTATATAGCAATGTACTTGATAGCTAAGCAAATAAAAATAAGAAAACCTTACCTTTAGAGAGTTTTATGGTTTACAATCTCCATTTTTGTTCCCTAAGGCACAAAGCATTATGCCCTATAATGACTAAGTACCTCAGAAATTAATGGTAATGATTCATAGCATCTTCAAAGGACATCTTGATTTTTAAAAAGCTATCAGCAATCTGTACATATATATATATATATATATATTAGGCCTATTAAAATCACCACACCATTCGCAAAATAATTAGCTTTAGGATGTAATGATACCTAATCTTGTGAAGACATCAAATAATTGACAAGAACACAAAGCCCTCTTATGGAGAATCAATTAGTTTGCAGAAGATGTTAATGAACTGAGTTTATTAAATACCATGAGTAAAGTATAATATCAAAGTATCAAAGAAAAACAAAACAAAACAAATGCTGAACTGAAAAGATATAGCACTGGCTAGATTAAATTTTGGTTATCTTATCAATGAAGACTATTCTAGAATCATTAAATCTTTAAAACAAATATTAACACAGTAATTTCATTTAATAAATCATATATTAATAAAAAATGCAAAACAACACCCATATATTCTACTGAATAGTTACTAATCAAATATTCAACAATTGGTATATAGAACTAAAATGGTAGATAATAGACACTCATCAGAACTCATTCTTACCTTCTTTTCCTCCAAAGCAAATAAATGACACAATGTATGTTAGGGCATGCTTTAAAAGTCAAAAATGAGTTATTAACTAGTAGCTAAATAGGCAAAAATGGGCCTATTTTCTGCCTAGAGTGGGAGGGACCCCTGGATCTATGTCATATAAGCTAGGTTCAAATTTCAATTCTGTATCTTAAGCTGTATAACTCAACAATTTTATTGAATCTGTCTGATTTTTAACTGTATAACTTGACAATTTTATTTAATCTATCTGATTTTTAACTTTCTAATCCATGGAATATGGGAACTAAGATCTACCCCAGAGTCCTAAGAATTAACTTAGATAATGCATACTAAGTCCTTAACTCTGTATCCAGCCCAGAGCAAGCAGCCATTACATGTAAGTTAATAATAATAACAAGGATAACAACAGAAACTTACAATATTACATTGTAGTAGAATCCATAATAAATCCAATTTGCCTTCCTAGGTATTAAATAATAGCCCAAGGGAGTTCACTTTAATTTTACTATAGTAAAATGACTCAATTTTAAAACAAAAAATTATATGTGTATTATATTAAATCTGCGTGCATAGATGTACAAACACACACACATACCAACATCATCATCATCCCTATAGAGCCAAGGATTCAGAAAATTAATGCAAAGTCACAGGGAGTCTTGAGATGGAACAATGACGCTAACTGCAGTCTACTTAAAGGAAGAAGCTAGTGTCGAAGCAAGTGTCCAACTGTTTTTACTGCATTTTCCCAAGGAATATATGGAAGAGGGCTTAAGAAGGGTGGAAATGCAACAAAGCAGAGGAAGTTGCACATTACAAGGAGCAAGTTGGTTTCCTGTTTCAGTGCAAGATTCAAAAACTCAGAAACCTGCAGAAGCTGGGTAAGTTGTGGACCAGGATAAATGGGAGGGTATGTTCCCTACATGCAGGTGCTGCCATGTCAGGCTGTGAGCCAGTGCTACCCATTCATCAGATTTTTAAAGAGAACCCAGATGTGCTTATATAAAAGTGCCTAGATGTTTAAATTTTGGTTTTAACGCTTATAAACATTAGGTTGATTACAAAAACACATCTAAAGCCTACAGTCTGAGACCTTTGTTTAAAGAGGAATTCTTAGAAGATGTAGCACCAGAGAGTACAAAACGTATCAGTGACAGGAGCCAAGAAGTAAGGCACTAAATTGGGAATAGATACAGAGACCCTACAGCCTCTAAGTACAGATGTTGCTCCCTCTGGAATGCTCTCCCCCAGACTCCTTGTTCACAGACTCCTCACTTAATTGCCTGCCTTACAGACTGCTCACTTCCCAGGGCTACCTGTCTGGGGAATCACTCTCTGACTACTTCAACCACTCACAGCTATGGTCCCACAGCACCTTGCATATCAAGGCTAACATATCACTAACGTATCACTAGTTAGAAAGTACATTACATTCGTAGTAAACCTGATCACTAGCTAAATTTGAGCAACATGAAAGCTATAACCTCCTTGGGTTTTGCTCAACAATGTATCTCCAAAGTACTCACAGATCATATGCAATCAATAGATGCCATTTGTTTGCTTGTCTTTGTTTCTAGGCTACACACTCCTTAGGATGATGGGGCTGTAGATTTCATTTCTGCATCTAGCAACTGGCTCAATATTAAATACATAAATTCACTTAATATTGTTAAAGCATATTTATTAAATGGCTACTGTTAGGCATGGTTATAGAAATTTGGGACCTAACAATAAACAAAGGAGACAAAGATCCCTGCCTTCAACCCTCATGGTGCTTACATTCTATTTTGCATATGTTTGGTGGTTCAGGGAGGGCACAGTTAGGAGGTGAAAATGAACAACTAAAATAAATAAACATATTACATAATATATCAAAGTATAAGTACTATGGAAACAATATAGAGACCAGGATAAAATAATTAGGGATAAGGGCACTGGGCATGTGGGAGAAGGGAGCAGAATTAAATAAGGTGTCAGAGTAGTTCTCATTGAGAGAGTGATATTTGAACCAAGACTTAAAGAAAATGAGGAATTTAGTATATCAAGAAGATATACTGGGAAAGAATATGCCAGGCAGAGGAAATAACAGGGGCAAAGCTTAAAGGCCAGAGTGCCTGGTATGTTTAAGAATCAGCAAGGAAGCCCACTGTGGCTATAGAGGGGAGAAGTAAAACAAAGCTGGTGCAGGGGCAGAGGTGCAGATAGTGTGGGGCCTGGCAGGTGGCTTAGAGGCTGTTAATGAATAAATGAGTTGTGCTAGCAGAATCCAGTGGCCAAAAAGCAGCAGTCTTTGAGAAAAGATAAGCATGAAATGGTCCCAAGGAGTTTGAACCCTACAAGAAAACACTCCAATTCAAATGCAGTTGATAGTGACTGAATTGTGACCTCTCAAATTCATAGGTTGAAGCCCTAACTGCCAGTGTGATAATCTTTGGAGATGGGGTCTTGGGAGGTATTTAGCTCTACATGAGGCCATGAGTGTAGTAGGGTCCTCAAGATGGGATTAATGTCCTTATAAGAGAAGAAACAAGAGAGCTTGTGCAGATGCCTGTCCCACACCAGCCCTGTGAGCACACAGCAAGAAGGCAGCTGTCTGCAAGCCAGGAAGAGAGGTCTCACCAGAACTTACCATGCTGGCATCCTGATCTCAGACTTTTGAAACTCTAGAATCAAGAGGAAATAAATTTCTCTTGTTTAAGCCATTCAGGCTACAGTATTTTGTTGTGACAGCTTGAGCAGACTAAGATAGTAATGAACATGAGGGAGAATTCTTTGGTTTTAATGTTTAAATATATGAACGGTGGTGATATAAAATAAAAGAAATGAAATAATGGGTTTATATAAATGAGAGATAAAAGAGAGAGAGAGAGAGCATCAAGTGATATGAGTACAAATTAATGTATAGTGATTAAATAAAAATATCAAAAAAAGAAATTAGCTTAGCAGCTGACAAAGGAAATGTATTAGCAGTATTATTGACAAATGAGGAAGAATGAAAACGTATGAACTAAACTAGTAATAGTAGGAATGATTGCATAAATTTGTTTTTATACAGATCTAGGTGAATTTCAAATCCTTCACTGTGCCTAAAACATCATTTTGTCAAGCATAATACAACTACAAGAATATTTACCATATTTTCAAGACAGTTCTTTCATTAATCTATTCTATATTAAAGAAATAGACCCCTAAGCAAACATTTTCCCCAGTTTGTATGATTTTCTTTTTTAGAATCTTTAATATACATCTCAAGGTGCTTGCTAAATAACAACTCTCCAATTTGTCTGGGAAATAGTAGCAAGTTGATTTCTGCAACCATAGGGGTTCTTAATCTGGTTTTCACTGGCAGGTTTTGGAATGTCTGTAAGCTCCTCCGCTGTGTGCATAATTTTCTGTATATGGGAATTTATTTTTTGTAGAAGAGTCTATAGTTTTCAGAGTTTAAAACTATAGAAGGTTAAGCTCCACTCTACTACAGCTCTTCCCACATGATATATAACAGTTGGGTTTCTTAGGATGCCTCCAAAAAGCTCAATTTTTGCTGTGATCTAGACTAAGGCAACACCTACACTAACAAATGGAAGTAATAAACAGAGGTGATTATTTGCATAATTCAAAACAAAGAAGAAAATTTTTTGCAAGAGCTATCTGAACAAGGCAGGCATTAATATGTTTTACTTTAAATCAGATAATTGCCTGTCATCCATCTATTATTAGAGGCAATTTTAAAGGTTAAAAGAAAAATTCCTTTTCCTGTAAAGAAGTTCACATTGATTTTGTTTTTGAGGCTTGCTTTCATGGTGTTTTTTCTTTACTTTCACATGTACATTTTCAAAACAATTTGCTTTTGCATAAAATATTAATGCCAGAGCACCTAAATTCCTTAAGTAGCTAGAGCTAGATGAAATTTATTTCACTTTTAAGTTATTTTCTCTGACAAATGGAAAAATGCAAGGAACTCAGAAAGGATAACAGTTATTTGACCACTTCTTTTTAAAAAGATTTCAGAAACATCTTATTTCTATTAAGACAGCTTAAAGAGTCACTTGAATTTTCACCTAAAGAAACAAAACGTCTCTATTACGTAGTAATCTTCACTTCTTTATGTTCCAATATAATATTTGTCATGTATTTCTAACAATGAAAGTTAAACAAGTGCCAGGAAACCCTAACAGTGGTTCTACATCCAAGGTTTTCTTGAACAATCACATTTCATGGGGTACTAAGATTATCATCCCATTTTACTGAAAAGAACCAAGTTTCATTTATCTAGTCACACTCACATTGCTAATAATTGGGATTCAAAACCAGGATTCTACAGTCCACATTTTACAGGCCTCTAAGAATTTTGTCTAAGGCCGTTTCACCCTACAATTAACAAGAAAATAATTATGCAGATAAAACCATACTTACCATGCAAATTGATTTTTCAGTTTGTGTACCACAATTTGGCTCAACATTCTGCTTTTATCTTGAGTTCTTAACAATCTTCCCAATGGTAAAACACACACACAAAATAGAAATTTGGTTTAAAACATCATTTTGCTAACCAGTAAAACTTAAAGCATTATACAATACAAGAATATTTTCATATTTAAATTGTATTTGATGTGCTTAATTTTATGTGAAGTCTTCTACATTTTGTAGATCCTTTATTGCCCTTGAGAGGACACAAGTTGGATCAAGTATCAATCAAAGTGCTTGCCAGAGTAAACTCTTAACACCACAGGACTCTATGCTGAAGGGGGTAAGGTTACAACTCAGAAATGTAATCAGACATAGAAGGATGACCAAAGAATATCAGCAGCTTCCACATCACAAGGAAAAGAATCAAACTTTATGTCAGAACTGGGGTTTTTTTCAGTGTGTTCTTAGGAATATTACACACACAAAAGTCTATTTTCAGTTACTAGCCTTCAAATTTTAGTACTCACGGAAACCTACACTACAAATATAACAAAAAGCATAGGAAATTTTATTTAAAATAAAATTTAGTGTATGTCGGTAGGCTGTTACTTTACACATAAATAGGCTGGAGCAAATCTGAAGAGATGATATGAGATGTTCTTACCTAAAATGCGTATTGTCATACCCCTTATGAGTCATCCTCCCTAACAGGTAAAATTAAGGCATAATAAAAGTCTAACCAACCTGCCTATTAGGTGTGAAGAACAATGGAGATAATCTACTGGGTTTAATATAGGAACCACAAGTTAAATACTAAGTGCTCATGCTCACAATGCAGCCTCATTAGCAATCAAGAAGGAAACGCTGGTAACCCCAGGAGAAGTTTTTGCCCAGAAGTAGTCATACCGTGACATCAAGTCAGCCCTACTTTCTCAAACTCTTTCCTTATACAGAACAATAAATATCTGATTCGCTTTCAAAAAGATGATTATTGTACATTTGGGATTGCTGCACCAGAGGATGAATATCAAAATTCCATGAATGTGCATTAAGGTTTGCTCCTTCGTTACTTTCCTATCACCACTTTAATGCATGCTTTGATTTCACAATGAGGACACCTCAAATGTCTTCTTTAGAACATTTCTGCTTTGATATAGTTTTCTCACATTTAAATCTCTACAAAATAAAAACAAATCTGACGCAACCCAAGACTGTTTAACCCACTGATGAAAACCAACATGATGGCCCATACTGTTTGCAAATGTCTAAAATATCATATTAGTCAAAGGGGACACTTTTATCTCCATTTAATTTGTCCACATGTTAGGAACAAGACTGAATGAAAGACATAACTGTAAAGATTAGACAAGATGTTATTGTGGTAGGCAGAATTTCTGAAATAACTCTTCAAAGATATATTTCCCTGGATTCTCCAGGATCTATGAGTTTGATGCAACATCCCTCCCACTATTGGGTTACGTTATATGGCACAGTTGATCTTAAGATAGGGAGATTATCTAAGTGGGTCTGATCTAATTACACAATCCCTTTAAAAAACCAAGAGTCTTCTCTAACTAGTAGAAGAAGGGAAGAAAGACAGATTCTAAACAAGGGAATAGTCACCTTTGCTAGCTTAAAGATGGAGGAAGCCATTTGACAAGAAAAGGGGGGCCTCAATTTCACAACTTCAAGGAATTAAATTCTGCCAACAACCGGAATGACCTTAAAAGCAGATTTTTCCCTCAGAGATTACAACAGACAAGAGCCCGGCACCTTCATTACAGACTCCTGAGACCCTCAGCAGAGAATTCAGCCAAGCCCACTGAGACTTCTGACTCACAGAACTGTGAGACAATAAATGAATGTTGTTTTCAGTCCTCGAAACTCATGGTAATGTGTTATGCAGCAATAGAAAACTAACACAGGTATGTCAATAAGAGTAGAAGAACAAAGCATTGACAAATGTACTTGGTAATTTTCACAGGTTGACATTAATATTTTAGCAGAAGGCAAAAATGGACTGGTTTGATCATCAGCAATTTCTCATTTATTTATACCTCAATACTCATTTTATGTAATGTGCTAATTGATTAAACCTTAAAACTGATAACCTGCCATAAAAGTTAGTGGAAAAAGGCATTCTAATTAATAGTTACCTACCACATTCAAATAACATTTACTTGTCAAAATGTTTATGTGGACACATGTTAGAAGGACTATGGTAATTAACAAATATATTGAGGGAGATAGTTTAAGGCTATGCAAATATCCCCTTTCACCTTAAAGTTTGAACTCATTAATTTTAACCATTTTCAGTGGATCTTGCCTGCAGCAATTATTAACTGTGATGATCCAATGATGATTTTCTATTTCCCTTATTTCTTCTACATTTATTAATTAGAATTATTCTGTAAGGCATATTTACCTCTTCTCACTTATTTATTCAGTATTTATTTATTTATAAATAAATTACTTGTATCTGTAGGGACTTATGAACATTTATTTTATTATATGGTTTGCAATCCAATACTATTATAATTTATTTTGTTACACAAATTGTTTTAGCTTTGCCCATTGGGAGCTCTTTCAGGTTGCCTCCAATGTCTTTTTTGTATGTAGCCATTTAAAAAAAAAATCATTCCTTCCTTTCTAGCACTACAAGATACCCCAGGATCATCTTATAATTTCCTACCCCAGGTATAGAATTAGCCATTTCTCCAAGGAGTTCTGGTTTCTTTATGGAGTAATGGTATTTAGAAACAACAATCTAGGCCGGGTGTGGTGGCTCACGCCTGTAATCCCAACACTTTGAGAGGGCAAGGCAGGTGGATCACGAGGTCAAGAGATCGAGACCATCCTGGCCAACAAGGTGAAACCCCATTTCTACTAAAAATACGAAAACTAGCTAGGCATGGTGGCACATGCCTGTAGTTCCAGCTACTCGGGAGGCTGAAGCAGGAGAATCACTTGAACGTGGCAGGCAGAGGTTGCAGTGAGCCGAGATTGTGCCACTCCACTGCACTCCAGCCTGGCAACAGAGCAAGACTCCATCTCAAAAAAAAAAAAAAAAAAAAAAAAGAAGGAAAGAAACAATAATCTAAGCCCTAGATGTGTTGGTTGGTTGCTATGAGGGTGTCACTGCTTCTAGGCCCTTAAGTGAACAGAACTAGAAAATATGTTTGCTAACCCATGTATATAAATATATCTGAACTTGTTTCTCTACTTATCTGCATTCATACTGACATCTCTACTTCTAAACCAGACTTCCTTCCTTGCTTAATTTGTAACTTCTCTCTCTGATAGTAAGAAACCTGGATCTCATTAGGTATAGTATATCTTGTAAGATCTTTCTATTATCATCTCATCTATTAGCACATGTATATAAGATAAAATAAACATCTGGATGTGGGACCAAAATAAAAATCTCAACTTGATACATCTTAATGACCAAATTATACTAACTAGTCTACTAACTTAGAGGAGAATTTTTTCATCAATTTGTTGCTGAGAATGGCCAACCAAATGTAATTCAAGAAGACAGGATTAGATAACAAAAAATTATAAAATGCATTTTTCACAGCTGTGGGTACCATGCTTACCCATGGTTTGATTTTTGTTACTCTTGCTAGTTGCTAGTTGTTGAATTCCATTCTGCCCTTTGAAGTGAAACCTTTTTTAAAAGTCAAGTTACCCAGTTAATCTAAGAGCTCAGCATAATTTGGAATTACCACCTGGTTCCGATCCTACTTAATTAAATGGCCAGATATTTAACATAATTTCATTTATCTCCTTATTTAGTAAGGCTTAAAGAGACCAAAAAAACTTGATATTTTAAAATATTTTTCTGACTCTAAAAATAACGTGTTCATTGTATAACATTTTTTAAATACAGAAATACATCTGAAATAAAGTTTCAATCACTCATGTGCCATACACCCTTTGTTTATGTAATATGATCTATGGATTGAATGGTAATGCATCATTATTGATTTTCTGATTAGGAGGGTCAGTGTGCAACAGCGTGTATTTGTTTTCAGATGGTACATAGTGGAATATTTAAGGGTGATTGGGCATCATTTTTGTAATATTAATAACATAGAAACAAATAATGCTCATTTTCAGTCTGTTTCTGCTGCCATAACACAATACCTGAGACTGGAATTTACTTCTTACAGTTCTAGAGGTTGGGAAGTCCAAGATCAAGGTGCTGGCAAGTTCAGTGTCTGGTAAGGACCCAGCATCTGCTTCCAAGATGGCACCCTGTTACTGTGTCCTCACACACTGGGAGATGGAAGGGAAAAAGACATGAACGCTGTGTTCACACACAGCACAGGAGATAGAAGGCAAAAAGTCCCTGCTAGTTTCCTCCAGCCCTTTCACACCTCTTAAAGATTCTATCTCGTAGTACTGTTGTATTGGGAATTCAGTTTCAACATGGATTTTGAAGAGGACACAACATTCAAACCATAGCACCCATCAAGAAAGTCTAAGTTAAATTGAATATATAAATATATAAAATAATATCAATTTATTATATATTAATAAACATAAATAATATACTGTTTGATATTGTAAACAAACTATTTCCTCATTAAATAGTATTTTATTAAATAATATTTAGTCATTAAAAAGAACAAGGCATTTTTGTGGATGTGAAGTTTTTCAAATTTTTAAATTAAAAAAATAAGGCAAAGAACTGAGTGTATACTATAATTCCTTTTGTTTAACCTTAAAAAGTAATATGCATATATAAAGGTTAATCTGAATGATGTCCCATCCACAGATTAGAGTTAAGCAGGATGTGAAACACTTATGGCACATTTTCTGACTTTCCCTAGGTAGGGTGGGAGTATGGGATGCACTTGAGAATTACCACTCAGTTTTCTAAGTTCATTAGTCCTTGATGAAGGAGTGGGGAAGAAATGACTGTGCTCAGTGTTTCAAGAAATTTTCATGCATATCATGCAGTTTCCTTATTGAAACATGGTGTCCTATTTTGTCTCCTTACTATTGAGGAAAAAATAAGTTTTGCTTTTTCTCTATTTTGAAAAGGAAATAGCTTTAGTGAAATAAGAGAATTCTTAACTACAGTTCACAATTTCTCAGACACTCCTACCAAAAAAAACCTAAGAATAGCCAAATTCACTCTGTTCTTGGTTGCCAGATGCAATTTAGTGGCATAAATGTAGCTTTATTCTGATTTATCTAAAAATGTATTATTTGTGTTAAAACCAGTGTAGCACAAAATATTAAAGTATATAAGTACTGTAAGAAAATGTGAGTAAATTTCTCTAAAACATGGAAAAGGTTTTCTGACTATGACTTTAAATCTAGATACAATTAAAGACAAGATTTATAAAAATGACTAAATAAAAATCAAAACAAATTTGTGCATGAGGAAAAATCACAAGCAAAGTCAAAGATAAATCATAAATTGTGAAAAATATGTGGAATATTTCTCAAAAAAAGATAAATTTTCTAATAGATAAGAAACCTTAAAAATGTAGAACTGAAGTCCAAAAGTCCTGTAGGGAAATGGGCAAAAATCATGACCAAGGAATTAACAAAATATATTTTTAAATTATCAATTTCATTCACAATTAAAAATAAAAATTGAAAAACTACACTGAGATAACAGTTCTTATCCATCGAATTGGCAAAATGTCAAAAGTTTACAAGATACCCTATTTGCAAGGCTTTACGGAACAAATCCCCTCATACGTTGCTGGAGAAAAATGCAGTTGTTTTTTATTATTGGAAAGTATCTGGCATGGTTTGGCTGTGTCCCCACCCAAATATCATCTTGAATTGTAGTTCCTATAATCCCCACATGTCATGGGAAGGACCCAGTAGGAGGC
This sequence comes from Homo sapiens, assembly GCF_000001405.40. Lineage (NCBI taxonomy): Eukaryota > Metazoa > Chordata > Mammalia > Primates > Hominidae > Homo > Homo sapiens. The sequence goes on along the minus strand of NC_000010.11, from coordinate 52,087,024 downwards.
AATTGAATTATGGGGCGGTTACCCTCATGACAGTGAGTGAGTTCTCACAAGATCTGATGGTTTCATAAGGGGCTTTTCTCCCTTTTACTCGGCACTTCTCCTTGCTGCTGCCATGTGAAAAAGGACATGTTTGCTTCCTCTTCTGCCATGACTGTAAGTTTCCTGAGGTTTCCCCAGCCCTGCGGAACTGCGAGTCAATTAAACATCTTTCCTTTATAAATTACCCAGTTTAGGGTATGTATTTATTTGCAGTGTGAGAACAGACTAATACACTGTTCAAATGCCCACATATAGCGAATTGTTTGAGGGAATTAGGGTACATAAACACAACGGAGCACTAAAGGGCTATAAAAATGAAAATCAAGGCCAAGGTGGGCAGATCACTTGAGGTCAGGAGTTTGAGACTAGCCTGGCCAACACGGTGAAACCCTGTCTCTACTAAAAATACAAAAATTAGCTGGGTGTGGTGATGCTCTCCTGTAATCCTAGCTATTCAGGAGGCTGAGGCAGGAAAATTGCTTCAATCTGGGAAGCAGAGGTTGCAGTGAGCCAAGATTGCAACACTGCACTTCAGCCTGGGTGATAGAGCGAGACTGTCTCAAAAAAAAAAAAAAAAATCATACCTATAAACTCATATAATTTCTAAAATATACTGAGAAAAATAAAGTTCAAAAAAGTGTATAGTGTGCTACTTTTAGTGTAAGAAAGAGGTAACTAGAAAACAGACATGTATCTACTCACTTTTACAAAAAGAAATACAAGAAAGATAAAGATAAGGAAAAGAATGCAACTGGTTTCCTATAAGAGGTGGAAGGAGAACAGGGTGGAAAGGATGGGGAGGGAATGATCTCTGAGTAAACTTTTTTTTGGAATAATTTTGACATTAAAAGCATAGTACACATTCAAAACAGAAAATTAAACAAGAGGAAAAAGACCTGAAGTGAATCAGACAGAAATATATGAATTCAGCAATATTTCAAATAAATAACATGATCAAACAAAAGGGAGAAAAAAAGTAATTCAGGTAACATGTGAACCCAGTACTTTGACTGTAGAATCTCATGTAAAGGGAAAAAACTGCAAATGAAGCTTAACTTTTTTTACTAGATTTTTGGGCTGCTATGCATGTCACAATTCTGGAACTTTTACATTTAATATAGGACTGAAAAAAAGAGTAAATATGTTTATGTTAGGAACCAGGGAAAGGGGGAATGCAAATATAAAATAGGGGATACAAGAAGGAATTCTGAGGGAATGGGATGAACACATACACACACAAATTTCCTACATTTGGTCCAGTGAATTGTAATTGTACCCAAGTAGCCGTGAGCACATTTAATATACAGATATTGGTTTTTAAGTATCATTCCATATTAAAAAGAATCAGGGCTCTTATAGCCCTTGACTCCAAAGTTGAGACAGAAAATATAAAAGTTGAGAGTGATACAGATTATTATAACAAGAAAGTGCTCATGAGGAAAAAAAATGATGTGGGCATGTCAAAAGGACACAAAGCCACTTTGAACGGATTATCCCAGTCAAGTCTGGGACAATTTGAGAATCAAAGTAATTGATCAGCCATTGAACACAATAGTAATCCACCAGTCCATATTGATAATTAATTGGAAGGAAAAGAATGAAGGACTTCCAGCAGTGAAAGTAGATGAGTTAGAAAATCGTCCTTTTGCAGTCATTGTTAAAAATATTTCTTCTGAAAGGAAGAAATCTTCATCAATGGATGCTAAATCAAAGTGGGAGGGAGGGAGGGAGGGAGAATAATTTGATGCAGAGCAGAACATTTGCATGCTCTTTAAGAGTTTCCTTACAGGTTGTTTATTAGTTGCAAGGGAAAAGGTTATTCTCCACTACACAGTGGAAACTCTGAGCAATGACCTAGCTGAAAGATCTAAATTAATATCACCAGTGAGAGACAGTCGTGTGGTTCCTAATGTGTTTGATACCCTGGGAAGAATACAACGTCACTTATATAATATTCTGGCAAAGAATACATAACCTCAATGTAGTCATGAGGAAATATCAGATAAACTCAAATTGAGTGACAATGTAAAATAAATAACTTCTCTGTGGTCCTCAAAAAATATCTGCACCAAGACAAAGAAAGCTGTCGCATAGTTTCAGATTAAAGGATACCTAAGCGACATAACATCTGAATATAATATTTGATCCTGGACTGGCTTGAAAACTGGACAAAAAAGGTGTCATAAAGAACATTATTGAGACAACTTGCAAAATTGGCATGGGGCTGTTAACTAGATAAACTATTATATCTATGTCAAATTTCTTGAACTTGTTAACTGTATAGTCATTACATAAGAAAACTTCCTTGTTCCTGAGTGACATATATTGGGACATTAGGGAGAAAAGGGTGAACGATTGAACTTGTTCTCAAATACTGCAGGAAAAAAGTATATATCTGTATATTATAAAAACACATGTTTATATCAATATATTAGAGAAAGAGAAGATGAAACAAATGTAGCAAAATGTCAGTAACCGGTGAAATTGAGTAAATGTATAAGGGAGTTTCCTGTGTTAATCTTGCAACTTCTACGTTAATTTGCAACTTTTTCAAATTTGTGAAAAACATGGCAATATATCTCAAGGCAATAAATATTTCAAATTTGAGTCTTAGTAGAATCAGGTCTTGTTGGAAGTGAATGAATAAAGATAATGAAATTTGAAACTGCAAAAACTTTCATCTCATTTGTCTTGAAAGCATCTTAGTTGAGCAGATATTTGTTTCATTGTGTTGTGTAAATGAAATGCATTTTATTAAGTATTACAGCAGTAAGAAAACCTTACTGCTCCTTTTTAAAAACCAGACCCTATCAAGCATTTTAAATGCACTGCTAATCATCTTCTAATGAACTCCTTGTAAAGTTGGGCTATCTTATGAGCAAATATTAAAATCCGCTATTTCCCTTGTAGAAATTCCCCAGAGTCCTGTCTATATTCTTTTAGCAAAGTTCCTTATAGTCCATCAATATCAAATGTGATTTAATTATTATGTATTCATGTAAACTTGAATTTGAAATGTAAAACAGTTACTTAAAATTCTGCCCAGATAGAAGAGAATAAGCCACAAAAGATTTCGTTTTAGTACCCACTGATCTTCCAGCCCCTGTAGACATGATTTGCTTCTTTATACTTGTAGCAATATTTACTAATATTGCTAGACTAAAACATATTCTTTACACTCAGGTTTAACATAAAATAAATCTACATCTAATTTCCTAGGCAATTTCACATCCATCCTTGAACTCTTTAGGTAAAACACTCAGGGTAGGTATGTGCAGCCACTGAAAAAATAGATTTTGCTTTATACTTGCCTCTCATAAATCTCTCCCTTGCGTCTGTCAGAAAACCACTTTTGTAAAATAACTCAAAGCGGCAATTTTACATGAATAATTTCCTGACTAATCATTTTTAACTGATAGGAATTAAACATGTAAATATGAATAAAAACTTCTGTAACACTATTTAAGCCAAGAAAGGACTGCATAGAATATTATGTTCCGGTCCTGTTCTAAAGTGTTCCGGATCACATAATTTTTTGTTTTGTTATGTTTTGTTTTGTACATTTGTTTGTTTTCCTTAATCAACTATACAATATCTTTCCAGGGCAATTAGGGCTGAAAAGTAAATATATTATCAAGATAATTATATTAGTGGTTACCAAATATTAACTACTTCAAAAATCAATTAATGGAATTGTGATTCCATGCTCAATGTAATTTTCTAACAGTAAAATTATGCAAAGAACGATGTTGTACCTGGCCCAAAGTTCAATTTACGAAAAACATCAAATTAAGTAAATTAGAATGAATTTATTTACAGTGTGCTATGGAATTTTTCAAACATATATAACACTAAAGAGAAAAAAAGAGAATAAATGACAGTGTGCCTGTCATTCAGTTTCAAAAATGACGAATTTCTGGCCAATCTTTTCTTCCATATCCCCTCACCCACCACACCACTCGATTATTCAGAAGCAAATCCATAATCCGTGTATTTTTTTCCTGCAAATATCCAGCATATATCTCTAAAAGATATAAGCTTTCTTTAACATCATAATCTAAATATCATTATTACTCTAAAATAATAATTCTTTCTTGTCATCAATTATTAGAAGCAAAAAATTTTTAAAACACAAACCTACTGAAATTGGTTATTTAAAAATATACTATATGTTCCTACTCTATGTCAGAAACTACGCTAAATACCCCTAATGTAAAAATGATCATCCTCTTAAAATGGTCAAGTGTTTTGGATAAATGGGCAGGCAAAATATGAAAGTGTTATGACAGAAAAAAGAATGTGTGTGCTTTCGGAAGGCAGAACAATGGTATCAAACCATAATGGGATAAGAGCTACAGCAGAGAGAACTTCAAACAGGTGACACCCTGTGAGAAGTAAATCAAGTACAATACTGTGTTAGAGCTCCCTCACACCAGCTTGCCAGAGACAATTTGCATCTCTTTCCAATTTCACTTTCCATGCCACCACATTGGTAACATGGTCATGATAGGGTTATTTACACCACAGAAACATGCAATCACCAGAGCTTTCTCTCCTGTCCTACAGAGAGCTGGCTGTTAAACATGTTTAAGCACAGTAATAGGTATGTTAAAGGGCCTTCTAGGTAGAGTGGGCAACTTATGCCAAGGCTCAGAGATGAGAAAGGATGTAATGATATGGTTTGGCTGTGTCCCCACCCAAATCTCATCCTGAATGGTAGTTCCCATAATCCCCATATGTTGCGGGAGGGACCCAATGGGAGGTAATTTAATCATGGGGGTGGTTACCCTGTGCTGCTGTTCTTTCGATACTGAGTCATTTGTCACAAGATGTGATTTATTAAATAAAAGGGGTTTTATTCCCCCTTTCGCTCAGTACTTCTTCTTGCCGCCTTCATGTGAAGAAGGATGTGTTTGCTTCCCTGTACACCATGATTGTAAGTTTCCTGAGGCTTCCCTAGCCACGCAGAACTGTGAGTCAATTAAACATCTCTTCTTTATAAGTTACCCAATCTCAGGCAGTTCTTTATAGCAGCATGAGAATGGACTAATACGGATATTAAATGGTCAGTTTATCCACAATATCAAGTAGATTTAATGAGACCCCTATTGTCAGGACAAGAAACATTCTTCTCTCAGATAGCTGTGGCTCACTTTCTTATCTCCTTCAAATCTTTGCTGAAATATCACTTTCTCAATGAGGACCATACCGACCACCCTACTTAAAATTGCAAATTCCTCCAACCTACCACCTTGTTCACCCTTACCCTGCTCCATTTTATCCTGAGCTCTCGTCATCTTCTAGCTTCTTTTTCTCGTTACTCCTTACCTCAGAATGTAAGATCCATGAAGAAACATGTTTTGCTTCTCCATCAGTATTTCCCAAATGCCTACATCGTACATGGCATATGGTAAGTATTGAATGAATTATGATTAATCAATCAAATTAAGATATGTTATAGAATTCCTACCTTAATTGAAGACACAAATTTGACTTTTTAGCTAGGTGGTGTGAGGAGGGGAGAGATATATAGTAACTAACATTTATCAGGATCTGTCTACAAAGCATCAGATAATGTTGATGGGTGTTTTACTTCTCTCATTTAACACTTATATGAACCCTGCATGGTAAGCAACTATTATGATTTCAATAATAATGAAATTAGGAGTCAGAAGGTTTAAGTAGCTAGCTCAGATAATGGAACAAGTCAATCAGAAATCAGAAATTCAAATCCAGACATGCGTGTCTTTGCCTGATCCCCAGTATTTTTTATTGTACCACATTAACTCCAAAGTTTCTATTCAACACACATTTTACAAGAAATTTAATTTCAAGGTAAACATCACACATTGTACGTTGGGTTTCCTGAGAAACAATATCTGAGACTCTGAAATGTGTTTGCAAGTGGTGTGTTGAAGAGGGTGCTCAGCAGCAACACCTATTGGGGTGAAGGAAGCCGGACTGAACACAGGGAGAAGTTGAGCTATGATGCAATTGCAACAGAGGCCTCAGCCTATTCTATCAGGAGTTTTAGAGTAAATAGCCCTGCAGAATTGTTCTAATTGAGGCCAGGGAATCAAGCTCACAGTAATCAACACTCTGGACAGCTAGAGGAATGACATGGTCTTAAAAGTGATCTTGGTGGCATACCACAGCATCTATTATATCACCAGATTAATATTATTATTATTCTCAAAAATGCTAGAGACTTTAAATAAATTAAATTCATTTTAAAAACTTTAACAGAATAATAAAAAAAGGAGAAAATAAAAGTCAATGTTTTTGTATGATACACAAAACAAATACCAAATAGCAATTTAAGATTAAAAAATAGATAGTAATCAACTCAGTGGGAATCCAGAAGATTCTGTAGGCCTTACTTTTGTACTTATCAACCAAATTAAGCCCCTTACCGAACTAGTTTATGTACTAAGTCTCAGTTTGCTTGCCTTCATTTCATGGACTCCTAAATTAGCATATTTTGAGAAGAAAAATAGGAGAAAAAAATATTACCATCTTTACGAAGTTTTTTTTTGCATTGAAAAATGTAACAAAATAATTCAACATATGTTTAGAAAACTTTTAGAAGGGTACTGGCATATTTGTTTTGTTGGATTCAAAGACGGGACATGGGCCAGCTCTTAATGGATAAGGATCACTTTTGGTTAGATACTCATGAAAAAAACATCATGGAGAAGTTGCTCAAACTAAATCAAGAAGGATGAGCAGGACCTTATAAGTGGATATTGGATGCAGCATGAAATAGCACAGAGGCAAAAGGAATGTTATATTTAAATACGCAGAGGCAGAACAGTGTCAGGGTCTCAGGAATGGTTAATATTATAATCCATATTTCTTGAGAATTTAGGTTTTTATTCTAGTATAGTGGTAGATAAAGCCAAAGAAGTAGATTTGGAGCTGTGTCGTAGGACTTGAAGTTCAAAATAATAAATTTGGTGTTTATTTAGTGGGCACTGGGATATAACAAAGTGCTTTGGAGAAAGCTGTGCTACCATCAGAACAGCTTTTCTTTATGGACCTATCATGGGACAGCCTGCCCTAGCACTTATTAGCATGTATGGGGCCTACAGCAAGACTGTAAATGGAGGCCCCCATACCATATATCTAATAATGTAAAAGTATCCTCCTACCTTGAAAAATATTTCTCAATAATCTGGAAGACTAAATTCAAACCAGAATTTTTTTGTTCTTCAGAATTCCAAGTGCAGGCCAGAATCATAACCATATGGCAATAGGTGACCCTGGTCCCCCTCTACCAGCTATCTCCTGCTTTCTAACAAACCATGAGTAGCCCACATATCCAACTGGGGTAGGATAAGAAATGGTCCACTTGCTTCTCCCACCCCAGTTAAACAGTGAACCTTGCCTCTAGGATACACACAACTGCTGTGCTCAACTTTTACTAGGAAGGACACAGGAAAGAACTTTCCCTGGCCTCAGAGGGAAACAGAAGTCACGAGTCTCAGGTTCCTAAAGGATGATCTAGAAGGAGATGTGCAGGCTTCATATGGACATATCTGTCTGACCCCAAAGATTCTTTTTTTCTTAGGGAAGAGGCACAGCAGAAGAGGGCCTCTGGAATCTAAAACTTAAAGCTCAGGCTTCGGGCAGGGGTCCTACTGCCTGAGTCTAGTGTTGTGGTGCTTTGATATACTGGGATATGATGAAAAAAAACCATGCACATCTAATAGAATGAACTACAGGTCAAGAAAAGATCTGAATTACAGTGGAAAAGGTGTTAAAAGAGATAAATGAATGAATGGGAGAAATGCTGTGGAAGAACTGTCAATAAAATTTGATGTCCAAAGATGAAGAAGGAGAGCTATGACACAGAGGGCTGTTTCAGAGGTTGTCCTTAATGTTCAAGCCTGGGTGACCAGGTAAATGTAAGTGTTCTTAACAGAGGAAACTGTTTGAAGAGCAATTAATGCATTTGAGAAAGAAATTAAAATGCCAGTAGAGGCTATTCTCCCATGATATTTGCCTGTAGGCACATCCAACTCTATTCTCATGGGAGACCCAGGATCCATGATCCATTTCTGAACATTGAAAGGGATAATAAAAACTGTAAATACAAACTATCTCATCACTCTTGTAAAAATTATTTCCCATTCTCATAAACACATATAGTCTTGCTACTTTAAATAAAATTATTTGGTTAAGCAGCACTTTTCAGGATATTTAGACACTGCTAGAAGGAGAAACTGTAAGATTTATATTCCAGTTCGTAATGACTCACTCTGCTTTAGCAAATGGAAAATTAATGAAATTGTTGTTGCTAGTGACAGAATAATTTATCCAGTCTTCCTTTGAATAAGAATAGCAGTTAAAATGAGAAGCAATAAAAATAATTGTGGTATATGGTAGTCTCTGGTGTGTGACAGCTGGCTTAATCTTTTTGTTACCTCTCAGGTGCATACAGGGACATGATTATCATAGGTTAGCTCATGGTAGTGTATGGAATAGTGTACACATGTAGGAAGTTAGAATGATATGAAATGTCAATAGTTTCTTGTAGGAAAGTTTCTATAACCTATTATTTTCCGCAATCTCAAATCCTTACTATTCTTGGGTAGGTCTAGAAACATAAAAACCATACATTTATCTTTCCCCCATATATTTAAAAAATGATTATTTTAAAAATAATTAGTGGTTATTTTAAAATTTTATCAATTTTAAGATTAACTTCAAGTACATGTTTTACAATTCTTGACTATTTGTGTTTGGTAATACAATGTAAAAGACTTAAAGTAAACAAATTCTATTTCTCCAGGTTAGCAAATCCATGTTTCTAAGGGAATTAAGTGCATATGGATGTAGGCGGTAGAAAACCTGTATTCTTCTTACAGAATGTGTGTGGAAAATGTTCCTTTCAAAGCAACATGTTTCCCCATATGGGAAGCAGGCTTGCAGCAACGATGTCGTCGAGTAGACAGTGAGAGTGGCAGTCGGCCATCTGGGCGGCAGACAACTGTCATCCACTGCTGCTGAGGGCACCTCTAAGCACAGAAATTGACTCTCAAAGACAAGACCCTTTTGCCTATCCCTGCTTGCATGGTTCGAGTTATCCATTACTTGACTTGTTCAAAACCCCATGCCTTTATAGAAGATGATTACTACTGTCAGTGAGTTTATTGCACTCATGGGCATCTAATTCCATTTACCCAAATGAGCCCTAAAGTATTCTGCTATTGGTGACTGTAGTAAAACCTACTGCAGAACTAAAATGTTATTAAAAGATGTTTTGATAATAGAAGCATAGAGAACTCTGAGCCTCCTGTGTGTAGAACCATGAAAGTGATAGTGGGTACGACTGTCTAGTGAGTTTTAAAACGTCATATTAGATTTACTGAGGTATAATTGACATTAAATAAGCTGCACATTTAAAATGTACAACTCGAAAACTTTTGGCATTTGCAGACATTCTAATTACTGTCACCATGATCAATATAATGAAAATATCCATCATCTACAAAGGTTTATTAGTATCCCTTTATAATCTCTGTCTCCTGCCATCTGTCATCTCTATATAAAATTCTATAGAATGGCAACTAATCTATGGTGACAGAAAGCAGATAATATCTTAGATAGATCTTAGATATCTTAGATAGATAGAATTATACAGCATGTACTTTTTTTAATCTGGCTTATTTCACTCATTGTAAATATTTTTGAAGTTTTCATCGTAATTATTTTGATACTAATCTGTTTCTGAGTACATCACTATTTCACTATTTTTATTGCTACATACTACTTCATTGCATGGCTCTAGCACCATTGTTTACCTATTCATCTATTGATGCACATTTCTGTTGTTTCAAATTTGGAGATATTAAATATAAAGCTGCTATAACATTTTTGTACAAGTCTTTGTATGCATGTAAGCTTTCATGTTTCATGTAAATACCTACGAATGGAATGGCTGGGTCAGATGGTAGGTAATATGTTTAAGTTTTAAAAAAAAAAAAACTGCCAAACTGTTCTCCAAAGTTGTTGTACTATTTTATACTCTACATCCTCTCCAATACTTTATATGATCAATCCTTTTAATTTTAGATATTCTAATATGTTTGCAGTGGCACTACCTTGTGGTTTTAATTTTCATTTCCCTAATGACTAATCACGTTGAGACAATTTTCACTTGCTTATTTGCCATTAGTTTCTCTTCATGGTGAAATATCTGTTCAAATAATTTGGATGTTTTAAAAAATTAGGCTATTCATTTTCTCATTATTGAGATTTGAGAGCTCTGTATATATTCTGGAATCAAGTTCTTTTTCAAATATGTGATTTGCAAATATTTTCTCCCAGTCTGTGGGTTGCCTTTTCCTACTTTAAATAGTGTTTGTCAAAAAACAGAAATTCTTCATTTTAATAAAATCTTCTCCTTCTCCTTCTCCTTCTTCTTCTGACAGAGTCTTGCTCTGTTGCCCAGGCTGGAGTGCAGTGGCATGGTCTCAGCTCACTGCAACCTCTGCCTCCTGGGTTCAAGCGATTCTCCTGCCTCAGCCTCCTGAGCAGCTGGGATCACAGGTGCACACCACCATGCCCAACTAATTTCTGCATTTTTAGTAGAGACAGGGTTTCGCCATGTTGGCCAGGCTGGTCTTGAACTCCTGACCTCCAGTGATTGGCCTGCCTCGGCCTTCCAAAGTGCTGGGACTACGGGCGTGAGCCACTGGGCCCGGCCCCTTTTTTTCCTTTTATAGATTATGTTTTGATGTAAAAATCTTCATCTAACCAAAGTCCACAAAATTTATTGTCTATTTTTTCCTGAAGATTGTAGTTTTGATCTCACATTTAGGTCCATGATCCATTTTAACTTAATTTTTGTATGTCGTGCAAGGTATGGATTCAAGTTCATTTTTTTCTTGATGGATTTTCAATTGTTTCAACATCATTTGTGGAAAATCTGACCTTTCTTAAGTGAATTGCATTTGAACCTTTGTTGAAAATCAATTGATAAATTATCCCCTTTAAATTTATATGTGTATATTGAAGCCCTAACCCCCAATGTGACAGTATTTAGAGACAGGGCCTTTGGGAGATCCTTAGGTTTAGATGAGGTCATGAAAGTGGGGCCCTCATGATGGAATTAGTGCCCTTACAAGAAGAGATACCAGAGAGCAGGTGGTTTTTCTCTCTCTACATGAATTCACTGAGGAACGGCTATGAGAGCACAAAGCCAGAAGGGTGTCTGCAAGCCAGGGAGAGGGCAATCAATAGAACTTGACAATGTTAGCATCTTGACCTCAGACTTCCAGCCGTTAAAACTGTGAGAAAATAAATTTCTGTTGGTTAAGCCACCTAATCTACAGTATTTTTTGTAACGGCAAAGCTAACTAAGCTAACTAAAATGGCAATATATGTGTGGTTGATTTATGGACTCTTCATTCTGCTACATCAATCTATTTGTCTAACTTGATATCAATACCACACTGCCTTGGCTACTGCAGCTTTAAAGTAAGCTTTGAAGTCAGATGGAGTTAGTCTTCCAAACTTTCTTTTTTTCTAAATTGTTCATATAAATTTTAGGTCCATATAAATTCTAGGTCCACATAAATTTTAAAATCATCTTGTCAATTTCAACCAAAAAAATCTTAGTAACATTTTGATTGGGATTGCGGTGAGCGTATAGATCCATCTAGGAGAATAATACTGCGTCTTACAACGTATGAACGTAATATCTTCAGTTTTCTCTTGGAATCATTTTGTAATTTTCAGTGAAGAGATCTTACACATCTTTTACAAATTTATCTGTAACTACTCCCTAGTTTTTGATGCTATCATAAGTGGTATTTTTAATTTCAATTTCTAATTGTTTGTTGCTTGATTAAATAATAAGTACCTATACGATTATTTATTGACATTTTTCGAAATGGCCCAGGAAAAGTTAGTGGACTTAAAGTCCTTTAAATATTACTGAAATATTCTAAAAATAATCTTGCACTTTTCCTAAATGCCTGGAATAGGAGATAAGGCAATTATCACATAGCATACTTTTCTCAGATACTTCTCATTTCCATTTCATTGTATGAACAAGGAATAAGAACCATGCAATGCCAAATACAGTTGCAAATGCTCCTTTTATGCGATACAGTCTTAATCAGAACACATGAGTAATGTTACACTCAAATTTTTTTCTGGCAAGAATTTAGAGGACCTTAAAGCATTTCTTTTGTAGGCATCAGAAGTGATTAGTGTAATGACAGTGAATCTAGCCAATTAAAATCTTTGTTGCCTGTCCAAAGTATGATTTATAGCAAGTCATGATTTATTAACAATTGTATAAAGGAAAAATTAAGAAGCAATCATTTAGACTTGGAAGGAATGAGAATGACAGAGACACAAAACACCGGCTGAGTTCATTAGCAAGAAAATTAACTCCAAGTGAAACATTTTTATGTCCATTTTTGAAGCGATTTTCAAATTTACATTATTTTTTCTTATCTTGTGGCACCTGAAGGGAATTATTTGTCTGAATGACATGTTGTAGAGTAACAATGAGAGACTGAATTGTTTTTATAAGTAGCTCAATTTCCACCACGGAAAATGACCTTACATTTTAGACAGTAGAGATAAATAAACCATTTTATGGAAAAGTACTAAGACACCCTGATGTTTCTCCAATCTTCTATAAAAAGCTGATCCCTTTTCTATAAACAGTCATTCATGTAAGCGGGCCCTTAGCTTTCCTCTAGAAGAAAAGTCCTCTTTCAAAAATCTCCTTGCATTTCACAGAAGCTTTCTAAAAAACCAATTTCCCAACTTACTTAAAACTAATGTATTTTATTAACATTAGTTACTGGTCAGTTACTGATAATTTGTACCTATTATAATGAGCTAAATCAAGAATTTAGGCATACTTGAGTCTAAGGTACACACTAAAACATTAGCAAGATTATTAAGTAAATTCAAACAACAGCAACAATAATTTTTTTGTACAACTAACTGTATGTTTCAGGTGAAGGTGTTCAGAGAAGTTCAGAGGAAGGATTCAAATTTTGTTTATTAAATAATCTTGATTATTGTGGAAGTAGTCTAGTCCAAATGCTAAGGCGCTCCCATACAAATATCAATAATTTGAGATATGAAGGGGAGGTTGCATGTGTGTATAATTTTTTTATGCATTATGTTTTCTCTAAAATCAGGATACAGTTTCCATTAATCCTGTAATGAGTTCCTTGACATCAAAGTCCAATGGGCCATTATATCACAGGTATCTTTTAATTAAGGTCCATATAATGGGTCCAGGCATCTTCAGAGCAACAGGTCAGCTTCTACATGCCTATGTATTTGGGTCCTGTGCTGTGCTGGACTTCCAGGTTCTAATATCTCATTTGGAGATTGTTGTAAGTTCAGCCACTCTTTCATGCCAGAACAGATGAATTACAAAATGTTACTACAAATGAATACCTAAAAGTGAAATAAATCATGGGGATGATGAGGACCTAACAGATCTCAGTATGATTACAGCATAGATAATGAAGCAGGATGTAGCTGATCATGAGACTGCGGCAATGATATGGGAGCAGCTCTCACAACAGGGAGTGCCAGAGCAAGCCTTTGAGGAGAAAAGTGGCATGACGCGATTTGCTTTAGAGAATGTAGTGAGTTGATTTGTGCCCTCCCAAAAGATATGTCGAAGCCCTAGCCCTCAAACCTGTGAATGTAATTATATTTGAAAATAAGGTCTTCCAGATATGATCAAGTTAAGGTGCTGCCATACTGGATCAGGGTGGGCCCTCCATTCAATGACTGGTGTTCTCATAAAGAAAGATTTTGATACAGAGGCACACGCAGAGGGAAAACAGCCATGTGAAGACAGTGACAGAAACTAAAGTGATGTAGCTCCAAGACAAAAAATGCCAAGGACTGCTGGGAACCACCAAAAGCTAGGAGTGAGGCATGGAACAGATTCCTCCCTAGAGCTTCCAAAGGGAGTGTGGCCTGGTGACACTTTGACTTTGGATGTCTAGCCTACAGACCTGTGAAAGAATAAATTGCTATTGTTTTAGCCACCCAGTTTGTGTAATTTATTATGGCCACACTAAGAAACTTAATACAAATACTTTGTCATCATCACAAAGAGGGGAATGGATAAAAAGTGCGGAAGACTGGACACAGGGAGACCAATTAGGTGGCTGTCCTATAATTTAGACAGATCATGGTGGCACTAACAGGAACAGTGGCATGAGGGTGGTGAGAAGCAGATTGAGAGTTGAAGTTGAGAGTTATTTAAGAGGTAGAACAAACAGGATTCGTTATTATGAGAGGAAATTTTAGGAGAAGAAAGAGTCAAGGATAATGTCCAAATTTCTGGTTTGATAAACACATGTAATATTCACTTGAAAAAGAATAGACTTGATTGGAGTTGGAAAGAAAATGAGTTTACTTTTGTCCAAGGGATATGTGAGATACTTGTGTGACAGCTAAGTTGACTTGCCCCGTAGGAAAAAGTTCTGGGGTGGAGAAAAAATGTTACTATGATACTCTGTGCTTTTCCTATAGCACCTAGTACATCAATTATTTTAATCTCCTCTTTATAAATCCTGAAGAGGAGAATAACTCAGGCCAGAAAAGTGAGAGGACAGCATCTTTTTGTTTTGTTTTGTATTGTTTTGTTTTGTTTTGGACAGCCACAAATCCAGAACAACAGAAATAAAAATTCCCACCAGACATTGTGTTACTTTTTCCATAGATTATTCACTATAATCCTCACGAGAATAATCTTCACTAAAAACCAAATTAATTATAATATTCACTAAAATGAAAAACGTAAAAAAAAAAAAAAAAAAAAAAAAAAGCAAAACAATAAACCCTGAGAGTCTCAGGTGCTGGAAAGAGAAGGGTCCCAAGGCTGGAGAAACAAGCTGGAGCCGCACAGGAGTCATAAGGGCTGGGTGAAGGAGCCTGGTGATGGCCCCACGGGAGAGGGCGACTGGGACTGAGTCCTTCATAAGGCCAGAGCCCTGGAGCATTTCGACACAAAAGGCACACGCAGTATAAATAACTCTCTCTGTCAGCCCAAGTAAATGTCAAGAGTCTTTCTCTGAGAGAAACAGAAACCCAAGCCTTGTAACTGGAAGAACTGAATTCTTTCAATGTTATCTTCAAGTTACAGGGATATTAAGCTAAAACGTATCTTTGCAGAGGCAAATATGAAACATATAAAATAGGTACATAGAGATGCTTCAATAACGTGAGCACAAGAAAATCAATCCCTCAGTCCACTAACTCCACTGAAAATGGGTATGTGGTAGAAAATAAAAACACCAAAAAACCCCACCCCCACCCCCACCCAAGACAAGCACACCTCAGCTATACTAAACCACACACGGAAGGAAAGTTGGTGGAAGTGACAAATGGAAGAATGTGCACCCCAAAAGTGAAACTAACAGAAAGTTTCAAAGAATTTGACATTCTAAAAATAATTTCTGAAGACATACAGCAAAAAAAGATGATATAAGAAACAATGTAAAAGATATTTAAGATGTCCATTGCAGCAACATAGGATGCAGCTGGAGGCCATTATCCTAAACCAGTTAATGCAGAAACAGAAAGCCAAATACACATGTTTTCACTTATAAGTGGGAGCTGAACATTGAGTTCATGTGAACACCATCATGGGAACAATAGACACTAGAGAGTTGAAAAGAGGGGAGGCAGAGATGGAGGCAAGGGTTGAAAATCTACCTTTTAGGTACTATGTTCCCTACTTGGGCCATGGGAGTATTAGAAGCCTAAACCTCAGCATCACACAGTACACCCATGTAACAAACCTGCACATGTACCTTCTGAATCAAAATTAAAAATATGAATAAATAAAGGAAAAGAAAAAAGATATTTAAAAATAATAAAATAATGGCAATAATACCTCACATTTATCAAACACTTAGTATATGCCAGACATTATTCTAACATGCATACATACTATATACATTATTTGGCCTATTAATCACCTTGACCCTATGTGGCAAGCACTATTATTCTACTTTTACAAACCATGAAGCTGAAACAGAGATGAACATCAACAAGATCACACATTTCATAAACAATGGAGCTGGGGTTTGAACCCAAGAAGTCTCATTTCAGAGCTCACACTCCTAAGCACTTTGATGCACCAAGTAGAACTTCTAAAATTACTTTTATAAAATAGTCATTGGAACCTACTCAGTGTATTAATTGAACTGAAGACTTGATACAATTGAAGGAAGAAGTAGAGAATGGCATGACCATCTGAGACAATCTGCCCAGCTTCTATTAAAAATGTAGCACCGAATGACACAGAGAAAGAAGATTCAAATGTGAATAAGGAGGTAAGGACATATGATGATGAGGTTAGGTCTAGGCCACTAAAAGTTACAAAATGAGAGAAAAGAGAAAGCGGGGGAAAGAATATATGCAGAAATAATGCTGAGAATTTTCTAGGATTGAAAAAAAACTGCATTCTCAAAAGGAGATGCACAGAGTTTTATTCTTCATTTATTGATAAATATATCTGTACCTACATTAATTATAGCAAAAATGCATAATGTCAAAGACAGAAACAGCTACCAGAGAGACAGTTTACCTACAAAGGAATGGTGATTTGACTGGCTGCAGAACATGAATGTCAGAAGACAATGTAATAACACTTCAAATGAAATTTGACCTAGATATTTACACCTAACCCAAAATTCACTCATGTGTAGGCAAGGGCAGAAGGTATAAACCAATCATCTCTTCAAAGAATAAATCTAAAAGAAATGAGGTGGGTTACAGGAGCAATAGTGGGCAAAGGAATTTGTAAACGAGTTGATAAATGTTAAATAATTAGGTTTTGGTTGTGTCTGAAAAAATACAGTAATAATAATGATTAATATTTGGGGACCAGTAGAAAACTACCTAGAAGATTGGTAGGAGTAATTAATTTGGAGTTTAACACACTTAATATTATATTATTATTCAAGAGAGGAATAGAGCTATTGATTAGTGTTACATGTTAAATATACATATTAACATATAAAGGTTATAATCATTAAAATAGAAGAAGGTAAAACTTCTAAACGAAGGAATGACATAAGTGCAATGCCTATGACAATAGAAGGAAAAGAAAAAAATAATATATTGACCGAGAATGAAACAGAATAATATTTCACATGGGTAAAATTTTAAATACAAATATGAATACATATATACACAATAAATTATAGACATATTTATAGACACATGAGCAATGAGGATGCATACAATAAGCTTCAGAATGGTGATATTGGGAAGGAGAGGAAGTACGCGGGTGGGATACAAAAGCAGCTTGAATAGTTTTCATAACATTTTACTTCTATATAAATAAATAATAATCAAATTCAAATATGGAAAAATATTAAAATCCATATCCAGTACTTAATTTCTGTACTATAATTTTATTGTTTTATCTTTTCTTTTTTGTTTTTGAGATGGAGTCTCACTCAGGCTCACAGGCTGGAGGAGAGTGGTGTGATCTCATTCACTGCAACCTCTACCTCCTGGGTTCAAGTGATTCTCCTACTTCAGCCCCCCGAGTAGCTGGAATTACAGGCTTGTGCCATCGCAACTGGATAATTTTTGTATTTTTAGTAGAGACAGTGTTTCATCATGTTGGCCAGGCTGGTCTCAAACTCCTGACCTCAAGTGGTTTGCCTGCCTCAGCCTACCAACGTGCTGGGATTACAAGCATGAGCCACCATGCCCAGCAAAATTTTATTAATTTTTTAAAAGAAAAAAATATACATCAGAAGATAAAACAAAGAAGCAAGTTCAGAAATGTTAATTAACTTTTCCATGATCACAGACTATGAAGTGAAAACAAATAAGGAAATACAGATTTCTAATATTAATGTCTATTCAACTGACTTTGGCTAATTCATTTTTGCATTAACATGAACAGGGCCTGGCATGTGGCACAGGTACTCAGAATGAGAGGCAACAGCTGGGAAAGTTCTTGGAGGGAAGTTCCTTGCTGACAGTGGTTTGGTATTAAATGCCACCATTTAACAGGTAACTCAGGGCTGCACTTGGCATTCAGGGGTCTGTTCCAGGTGGAAAAGGGCCAACTCTCAGAGAACCAGAAGCTATGACCTAACGAAACTTAAAGATCACCTAGTTCAATTGGCTTAGTTTACAGGAGCTTAACTGGCTTGCTGAAAGTCAATCAATGAGTGGTTGACTCAAAATCTAATGCTATGTCAATTTTGCCAGTACACTAAACTTTATCAAGTGGTAGCAGAACAGTGCTGGTATGATGATATGATGATGATGATGAAGATGATGATGTAGATAAAGATGATGGTGGTAGTGATGATGACAGCTCACTTTAGGGAAGCATTAAACTAAATTATATGCACTCACCCAAATTCTTTGTAAGTATCCTTTTGATTCCTCCTCCAATAACCCAAGTAGTTAGATGTAATCATAATCCCCATTTCAGATAAAAGAAATTCTTCTCAGTGACTAATCATTAATAAATGACAGAATAAGTTCCAAAGCAGGCAATCTGGCTCTGAACTGGATCTCTTAGCCATATGCTATGCTGAAGACTCAAAAGTTAGGGGAAAGAAAGGAAGGTGGCTACTGGGAGCTTAATCCCATCCCTTTTGGGTACAACTTGGTCTACCATATTTCCTATCACTGGAGATGCAAAGTGAATATTCGGTTTAGAATTTGCCATCATCTGATGTTTATATGTATTCCATATGGTTTCAAGTCAAGTAGGGATCTTTTTTTTTTTTTTTTTTTTTTTTTGAGACGGAGTTTCGCTCTGTCGCCCAGGCTGGAGTGCAGTGGCGCGATCTCGACTCACTGCAAGCTCCGCCTCCCGGGTTCACGCCATTCTCCTGCCTCAGCCTCCCGTGTAGCTGGGACTACAGGCACGCGCCACCATGCCCGGCTGATTTTTGTATTTTTAGTAGAGACGGGGTTTCACCGTGTTAGCCAGGATGGTCTCGATCTCCTGACCTCGTGATCCGCCCGTCTCGGCCTCCCAAAGTGCTGGGATTACAGGCGTGAGCCACTGCGCCCGGCCTCAAGTAGGGATCTTGAAGCAATGGTAAGTCAAAGTATAGATGGATTGACTTATGAGTTATTGAACTAAACGTGAAGTGATTGCTCTTAAACACACCTTTAGTTTTCATATATATATAAGGGAGTACTTCTGTAAAAAGTAAACATTTTACCCTCTCTTTGGTGTGTATAAACACTTATCAGAGCAAGGAAAGAAAAAAAAAAAAGATGCTTGAGCCAAACAATACTGCACAATTTGCTTTATGTCAACTAAAGTGAAAGAGACTCAAATTTTTCTAATAATAAGATGCTATTGGTTAAAGGATGTTAATAATACAGTTTATAAGATGACTCAATTTATGACTCTACTATCTCCATCCAACAAGAAAATAAAGCTTGTTACTTTTAGAGGCAGAACTAGATAGTAGTCATGAGGCTGAGTTCTGGAGAAAGGGTGTTGAGTTTACATTTCGGCAATGCCATTCCATTTTCTACTGTGTGCTTAATCAGTACTAGTATTTATGCACTCTCAAATTTAAAAAGAATGGTCAAACATATATTCATTTCACTCAATCTCCAACCAGAAACTTATCAATATTTAATTGCCTGCTGAACAACTTCAAGAGAATAAAACCAAAATTCCGAGTACACACAAATTTTATTTGTGAGAAAACCACAATCTGAAATTCTGTTCTGTACATACAGAGAATGCTGGCTCTACAATTTTTATTCCAAGTATAAAAACTATATAGTTTGTAAACAAGCATAGCTATTACCCAAAGGATATACACAGTTGCCCAAAAGATTTTATATATCAAAGTTATATCAATTTCTAAGTTATTTAGAAGGAAACAAGTGAAACAAATCAATTTGATTTGCGAAATGTTGGAATTTCTTGTGAAAAATATTGAAATGCAAACAAAAGATTAAAAAAACCTAGACACAGTGAAAAACAAGTTACAGGCATAGGATATCAAAATGTTAAAATGTCAAAACATCAAAACAAGAAAATAATCAAGATGAGTTAATAGGCTTCCTTCATTTGAAGCAAAGGACAGGTTTTAAAGAGGCATATCTGAGTGATAGAAATCACAAAATGGCATCCACACGCCAAAGAGTTTGCAGAAATGGTCTGTTGGTTTACAGAGCTTTTTTAAAAAATCAGATTACAAAATCACATTTCATATTTTTAAAATCTAGGTTTTTTTCTGCTTTTCTTAAAAAGCCGAGGTTACATTCTTACAGAGCAGCAGCAAGCTGGAGTTCAGTAATTTCCGTCCTCATCACATAAGACTTCCCAGTTTGCCACCTGTTTTACTAGCCTATTGTAGTCATTTACATCGCTAGCCTGCCCCCCATGGTCAAGCGAGCTCATAACCCCTATCCACTGCCAGGCAAATTCAAGTCCTGAATGTGATCAATGGAAGAAGGGACTTTAAGATTGGACATCATTCGAGAGGTTCATTTGTTCATCTATTCATTCATTCACTCATTCATTTGTTAAAAAATATGTGGGTATTTGATAAGTGCCAGACACCGGGTTCAAATAAGAATATAAATATTTGGGACTTCTTTTCATTGAGGTATTATGCAATCATATATCTGGAGGAGCTTACCAAGGTTTATGAAATACAGTTGAGGACATAATATTAGCAAATTTTAGGAAATGAAATAAATTCTAAAGAGTGCCAATAATTTAAAGGGTCCCGAAGGGTGGAGAATTTAAAGAAAGAAAGGGTGGTCAACAATGTAAAATCATGGCTGAGAAGTGAAGTCAAATGAAGAAAAAAATAAAAGGACCATTTCATGAGGTAACTAGCAAATCTCTGGTGACATTTAAGAGGGCACTTAGAGTAGACTAATAAAACCAGGTTCCATAGCGAGAAAGTGAGAATAACAGCATAAGAAAGAGATGTGAGGAAATGGGGGTAAGGGGTAGATGTGAAGAGAAAGAGTGGGGCCTTATTTTCTGGCATTCCACTTGCGACCTCAGTTTGTAAATATTTCTGGTTCTTTGATTCTGTTGGAAATAACATTGTTTTCCACAGAGGTATTTAATCTTGGACCAATGAAATCAGGTGGCGTCTTTCTATAAAATGCCACCTGATTTCTATAAAATGCCATCTTTTGACACATTTAATAATCAAAGGAAAGCAAGATTAAGATACAGATGATACATTTATACTAGAAAGATAATGTTTATTTCACTCTTCTGTATATCTACACCAAAAATACTATTTTTTCCAACTTTGACATTGAAAAAAATCTAATGGCAACTATATGTTCATCAGATAAGGATAAAATGAACTCAGTAGGAGAAAAAAGGAAAGTTGAGTGTAGTTACTTCTGAATTTTCATAAGGTAATATAGCCTGAGTAAGATGATTTATCAGAATATCTTTATTTCACTTATTAAGCTGTGAAATAGAAAGAAAATAAAACCTGTCATCTGATTGTGGCTTAAAAAACAATAACTTCCTAAATTACTTCTTAGAAGTACTTTGAAGAAAAAGGCTCATAATGTAATTTTTTAAATGAAGGCACAATTTGAAATGAAAACAGAACTGACTGTTCCCATATGCTAGGAGTAAATCATGTCCTATTGCTGTCCCTCCCTAGGAGACACTCCTGTACCTGAAATTCGATAGAAAAATAAATGTTTATTGGTTGTTGCTTATTCAAGTAGTGTATATACATACAGCACTGAATGTTGAAAAGGCTTATCTATATTTAATGATAACTGAGATATACTGGTTATTGGAAAATGAGAGTAGGATACCCAAATATTTTTATCATGCATTCTGTAAAATGCATGGTAAAAAGTCAACTCAGTTTTTCCTTCATGATACATGAGAAGAACCCCCAAGTGCTTGCTTCTTGATGTCTTAGTTTAAAAATAGAGTATCAGTCTCACAGAAGTACACCTCTACTAGTCTAGCCTTCACAGCCTATCCCATAGTGAATCCAGATGTACATTACCTCCACCTACTCTTCCACCTCTACCACCATAAGAGTGATGACAATTATGACCTACAAGTGAACCCTGGAAATACTTCACTGCCTTGTGATCATTGTGATGGCAGTGGCAGGCCATCTGGAGCTGCTGCTGCCATCACACTGGGTGCAGCAGGGAGGTATGGCCAGGTCTGCACACCCATGGAGCCAGCAGGAGCCGGGGACAGGAGGGACCCCCACCCCTTCTGAGTTGGGATGGGAGCTCCCTGGGTACCACTGCAGCTGCCTAAGCCACGACTGTGGGCCCAGGCATCCCTGTGCTCCTGGGGCTGGGAGGAGGCAGGAGCCCTGTCTTCCAGGGCAAGGCTGCAGCCACCCAAGTCATGGGCAGGCAGGGGGAAGCAGGAGCCCTTTTCTCCCCGGTGCAGCTACAGCTGCCCGAAGTCACGGCCATGGACCCGGGCCTCCCCTGTGCTGTTGGGGGACTAGGAGCTGACAAGATCCCTGCCCTCTTGGAGGTAGCTAGACCCAGGCATTTCTGCACTCTTAGGGGTCTGGGAAGGGCCCCCTGGCCCTCACAGGATCAGAGGTGCCTGCTCCCACTGCCTGGCTTCTCTCTGTTTTTGGCTCCTATTCTGATTTTGGAGGAAAGTTGGGACTGAGCCCAGGCACTGTCACAGTCCGGCCAGGTGTGCACATGCTCAGGGCAGTGCTGGCATGCCAGTCCCCTGACAACTCACCCCCCTCTGGGCTTTGGGTGCCAATGAGCATAGGAGGGAATCCAGTGGTGGGCTGACGGCAGCTTGGTGCTGGCCTGCAGGTGCCCCTGGCACCTACAGCCTGGGTGTCATGAATGGCAGCAGGAGGCAGACAGGTTCCTGGGCAGAAACGTGGTGGATCCCCATTAAGGCCCCACCTTCAGACCAGGGAGGGCCTGAAGGCTGGAGGCCAGGCTGCCAGTCCCATGGACAAGAGTGGGAACTTGCAGTGCCTTTTCTGGACCTGCCTATTGCCACTCATGAACCAATCAGCATGTATTTCTGCCCCTCTGAGGCCCATAAAAGCCCCAGGCTTAACCAGAGCAGAGCAGATATTGGGATGACCAGCTGCAGAGAGGAGCTACCCACTCTAGGGCCTCCTCTCTGCTGAGAGCTGCAGATGATGGGATGACCAGCTGCAGAGAGGAGCTACCCTCTCTGTTGACAACTGAACACTCATTGGGACGACCTGCCTACAGAGAGGAGCTACCCTCTCTGCTAAGAGCTGAACACACATTGGGACACCTTGGCTGTGGAGAGGGGCTGCCCACTGCAGGTTTTCTCTGAGCTATTCTAGTGTTCAATAAAGCTCCTCTTTGTCCTGTTCAACCTCCACTTGTCTGCGTACCACATTCTTCCCGGTCACAGGTCAAGAAATCGGGAACCACTGAATGGTGAGGCTAAAAGAGTTGTAATACAAACAGGGCTGAAACATGCCCCTTGCTTGCCACATTGTAAGTGAAGACAAGGAGAGAAGAGCTGCAGCCCTTTGGGGGGCCCAGACCTGGGAGCTCCCCGAGCCAGGGCTGTGACTCCCGCTTTGGGGCTATGCAGTTCCTGGTGTCTCTAAGCTTCCAGGCACGACCACATTCCCTGATGCTAGCCGGGGAAGCTGCTTGTGGTGTGCCTGGTTCGGCCGCAGCCTTACAAAGATCCCATGCCAGCACCTGGAGCTGCCCACCTCACGGCAGCAGCCAGTTTGTTTGCCTGTGCAGTGGCCAGACCCCACACTCGCTCACGTGCCCCTTGCCACTTCACGCCTGACTTGCAGTCTCCCTTGAAGATGTGGGAACCAGGTCGGTAGTGTGAACTGAATGCAACCTGCCAGGCCAAGTGGGCATAATGAGCCCAATGGGCCCAAGCAAAACTCAGGTGAAGGCGCCCACCAGCCACAGGTTTCCAGCCAGGAAATTGACACCCCAAAGACCCCATAACAATTGTTTGTACAAACAGGTTTAGGGATTTCAAAAATTTCAACCAACTATCTTAATGATTCTGAGTAAAATCATTGCACAAAGTTTAGCAGGGAATTCCTCTCTTTGAAGTTGTTATAGAGATTGCAATTAAGGACACAAACCTGAAAATGTTTCCAATTAATATAACACTGATTTATTAGAAATTAAGGAATTTATTCCACAACGTATTCAAACAGATTCCAAGTCCAGCTGAAAATAAATAAAAATGTATTTATCATCAAGGGTCCATATTTGATATTGAGATAAGCACTAAATAAAAAGCCTATTGTGCTAGGAGCTCAAAATTTCAGACAGAAATTTATGTAGCACTCAAACAAAAACCTGTATAACACATGATCTACTTACCCCTGCAAGGCTTTCTCTCCAAACCAGTCTCCTTTTCCTAAAGTTCTAAGAAAGACTGGGTCTTCACTCGGTGAGTCTTCACGAGTGACATTTACCTGCAAAGAGAAACAATGAAAGTTTAGATCCACTGCTTACCCACAATGGACAAAGGAACACTAATTAATGAAGTTAATTCCGTTTCTTGTTTCTTTTCTTATTTTTATAAAGAAAAAGCATTTAAATTACCACCAAAAGGACCAAAGAACAACATCACAAATTCCCAGGAAAACCACAAGAGCTTACCTCCAAATATTTTGTTATCCTTTCAAGTTATTTTAAAGAAATAATACATTACCAGTAAATTTGATCTCACTCCTCATCTCTATTCTAATTTTCCTGCCTTTATGAAGCAACCACTATAATGAACTTGGTGAGCATTTCTGTCCATCTTTTGATGTGTTTATGTACATGAATTTTTAAAATATATTAATAACATAGGTAGTATTCCTCATTCTGCAACTTACTTTTTTCTCTTAATATTGTTTTAATTATTTATTCCATGTTCTTAGGTATAAATCTATTTCATTCATTTTAACGTATGAGTTTTGTTTCATTATGTAAATATATTTACTTACCCATATCCTATAAATTGGCAATTATATTGTTTCAATTTTTTTCTTTCTTTTATTCATTCTGCTGAAATGAACATCCTTCTAAATGCCTCCATATGCATATCCTAGTTTCTCTAGGATACGCCTGTCCCTTTCCCTGAGAAGAATCCAGCTTTCATTTGAAGACACATCTCATTTTCATAAAGATTTCTTGCATGGCTGTAACTGACTATATCCCTCAAAATCCACATGCTTCATTTGGTAGGATTTCTATTTCTAAAGATATATAAATTACATATAGGCCCTTTTTTACTATAATAAATAAAATGCCCTTAAAAGAAAGTTGTATTTCTTTGGCATTCTCCACAAATTATAATAAGCACTCAATAAATAGTTGTAAATTGTTTTAACAGAATGTGTCATTACTAACAACATAGATAGCCTAGAACACACAGGACTTGTGACTTAACAGAAGGCAAGTGATAATGTTTTTTGTTGCATGAATGAAAACAAAAATAGAGTAACTTGTACCTTTGTGTTAATTCACTTCTCCCTCAAGCTCTACTAACATTCACAAAACTGTCTATGTGTCATCCAGAAAGGTTAGTTAAAATTCACCTACCCGGAAAATGTGATGAAGTAAAAAAACTAATTTCTTGAGACAATGCCAAACACTTAAACACATTTAATAATACTGTGCTTCAAGTTTCTGAATCTAGAGATTAGATGTCAAAGACCAGAATTTTTATAAGTATTAAGAAGGTCTGTGTAAGGTGGAGGAAATTCAATTATTATTCTCCACTGATCCATTTGATTACTCCTCCACACAGTGTTTCAAAACCATGGAAATTCAGTTTTTAACACTTTTACTTACCACTAAGCTGTGTCTCTGTGTCTCTGTGACCACTAAGCTGTATCACAGAGACACTAATTTGCATGCTGAAGAGGCTTTTATAGATGCAGAAACTTCAGTAGGGAGTCTGATCTAAAATAAAGGTTACTGGGCCCTTATTCTTGAGGTTTTCATTCACCCATGTTCATATAAAAGCTAAAATTTATTTTCTTTGTTTAAACAGCATTCCATTATATGAATATTATGCAATTTACTAATTCTGTAGATATAAATGTGGGTTGCTTCCAGTTTTATTTTTGTTATACTTTGTTTTTATGGTGCTATTAACTGTGTTACTGTGAACATTCTTATGCATGTGTTCTAGTGTCCATGGGTAAGAGTTCACTAGGGCCAACGTCTATGAATAAAGAACAAGGTTATTAAGTATATGCATCTTCCATTTTACTAGGTATTAACTCACTCTTGGTACAATCTTACATTCCTACCATCAATGGATGAAAATGCATATTATATTATATTATATTGTTATCAATACTTAATATTGTCAGACTGATTTTTTTCCAGAAAGGTAGGTATTAGATGGCATTTCCCTTATTATTAATAGATGTGGGAGATTTTATCATCTTATTTTCTGAGCCACTTGTGCTTCTTTTGATTATATGTCTGATCATGCTTTTTGCCAATTTTTCTATTGGACTGATTATTTTTGTTGTTGTTCATTCACAAGACTATGGTTTGTCTAAATCATCTTTATGGTGTCCTGTTGAACACATGTATTAATTTTAATGTAATTACACTTAACCGTGTAATATTTTATTGTTTGCATTTTAAAATATCTTATTCAAGAAATCCTTTCTTATCCCAAGATAATAGAAGTATTATCCCAATTATCTTTTAATTTTTTCCTAATTTTTCTTTTCACATTTACATCTGAAACTGCCATTATGTATGGTGTGAGCTAAGGATCCAATTTTATTTATGTCCCTATGCATAACCAATTGTTGTGATACCTGTAATGTCCATGCCATCCTAAATCAAGTTTCCATATTATCATGGATCTTTATCTGGGCTCACCATTCTTACACTGACATATTTGTCCAGTTTTCAGTCAAATTAAGTCCACATTTTTTTCCATTACCTGAACCTTATAATAGGTCTTGATATCTACTGTAGCAACTCCCAATATGTTTCTCTTTCTTTCTAATGTTCTGCCATGTTGGTGTTTTGCTCTTCATTATACTATTTTAAATACAATTTTCTTCTTAAAAGACTCGAACATTTTCTTGTTATAGATATGCCTAGATACTTGATTTTTGAAATGGTATTTTAAAAACGTATTTTAGTTACATGTTACAGTATTTAGAAATATACATGAATTTTTAAGTTATCATATAGTAAAATTTACTTCTATCATATAGTAAAATTTACTTCTTTTTTGGAATATAGTTGTAGGAACTTAAACACATGGATAGATTTGTCTAATTCCCAGAACAATTAGACACAGAACAATTTCATCACCTCCAGAAACTCCTTCACGCTATGTATTTATAGTCATATCCTTCTCATTCCTCACCCTTATAGTCTGTTCTGCATCAAACTAATTTTATCTTTTTGAGAATGCCATATAAATGAAATAATACAATATTTAACCTTTTCAGACCTTTTTTTCTTACTCAGCATTAGACCTTTAAGATTCATCCAAGTTGTTGCAAGATTCAATAGTTTATGTTTTTTATTGCTGACTAATATTTTCATTGAATGAATATGACACAATTTGTTTATTTCTAGTTTTGGCAATTATGAATAGAGATGCTACAAACACTGATGCAGAGTTTTTTGTGTGAGCTATATTTTCATTTCTCTAGAATAAATATCACAAAGAGTAATTGCTGTGTCATACGGTAAATGTTTATTTAACTTTATTAGAAACTGCAAATTGTTTTCCAGAATGGCTTTACCATTTTGCATTCCCAGGAGCAGTGATTGAGAATACCAGTTGCTCTGCATCCTCACTAGCACTTGATATTGTTAATTTTTGTTTTTAGAGTTAGCCATTCTATTAAGTATGCAGTAGTATCTCAGGATTTCAATATGCACTTTTCTAATGACTAATCATTTTGAACACCTCTTCATGTGCATATTTGCCATTTGTGTATCTTGCATGCTGATGTGTTCAAGTCTTTCATTCTGTTTTTTAAAGTGGGTACTTTGGTGTTTTTTGTTGATTTTTAGGTGTTTTTTTAAATAGGATCAATAAAGGATAGGATCAATACAAACCCCTTACAAGACGTGTACTTTTCAAATAATTTTCCCTGTTAGTAATTTGTCTTTCCATTCTCTGAACAGTGTTTTTCCAGAATAAAAGTTTCTAAATTTGATAAAGCCCACTTTATCATTTTTCTTTATGGATTGTGCTGGTGGTGTCATGCCTAGGAACTCTTCCTATCTAATCGCAAGTCATACATTTCTCTTGAAAGTTTTATAGCTTTATGTTTTACTTTTAAATCTATTACCAATTTTCATTTAATTTTTATGTAAGGTATAAAGTCTAGGTCAAGGTTCCCCTGTTTTGGTCCATGGATTACCAATGGTTCCATCACCATTTGTTGAAAAGACTTTCCTTTTGCTGTCAGTTACTTTCATTTACTGATTGCTCTGTTTCTCACCTTAAGTACGTTAACTGTAGGCATGTTGTAGATACCACTTATCAGGGCAAGAACATTCTCTTATATTCTCAGTTTGCTGAGAAGTTTTATTATGAATGGATGTTATACTTGTCACACCCTTTCACTGCATCATTTGGCATGATAATGTGATTTTTTTCTTTAGACTGTTAATATGGTACAATATGTTGAATGATATGGCTTTTTCAATATTCATTTATAGTAAAATATCCAGTTCTATAATGTCCAAGACAGCCACTACTAGCAGCTATTGCAATGTGGCTACTACTACTGAGAAATTAACATTAAAGTTAAGTCAGATAATTTTACTTTAGATAGCAAGTGTGACCAATAGCTATTATATTGGGTTGTGTAGAGATATAGAACAGTTCCATTAATAAAGAAAAATGAACTGAATAATGCCGATTTTGCTAAACTCTTATTAAATTTTAATAATATATATGTCTATATAAAATCCTAAAAGAAACTAAAAACATATCATGTATAAATAATTACTGTTTCTTTATTTCCAAATATTATTTATTTTTCTTAACTTACTATAGTATTTGGGATGTCTAGTACCACATTAAACAAAATTGGTAATAATGTATATCTTTATCTTGTTCTTGATATTAAAAAAAATGTTTCTCAGAGGTTTCACCATAATGTATACATAAACATATGTATACATATGCAAATAAAATTTCCATAACGGAACACTTTTTATATTAAAAAACACTGAACATTGTGTTAAGGCAACATATTTAATTGGCATGTTTAAATACTTGTTAACTTTATGAAGCAAAGCCATGTGATTTTAAATGCCATTTGATAGACAAGAATTTTTGAATCACATTTTTTTCCAATGGTAGGATACGAGGTATGTTGAATGGAATCAGAAAAATCAAAATCTATTTGAGCTACTATTAGAACTCTGCAACTTTGCTTACCCATCCTGTTCCCTGTTCAATTTTGGTTTGATTTATTTATAAAGAGATAGTTCATTTTATGATGTGACACAACTGCAGGGACATATGCAGGAATCTTCGGTGCTTTATAGTTCACTGTTGGAGAAGCAACTCACGTTTCCAGGCAACTGGAACGGAGTGATTGAAGTGTAGAGAACTAACTGAGCTTCTACTTAAGGCAGCACCAGTATTTTAGCCATCATCACTGCAAGCATTCTGCCTCAGGTTTTAGAAAAATCAGATAGCACAGGCTTAATGGGGGAAAAACAAGTACGGCAAAGCTTATTTTATAATGCTTCTCTCTTTGTGTGAATGTGCTTAATGGAAGAATAAAAATTGTTTTACACTTAAATAAGTGGAACTGAACAAGGGGAATTTCATTTGTAGCTTGGCAGCCCCTATTGTGTCTCTCTATCTCACAGCATTTTCTAAGAAAAAGCCAGTTTGGTGGTAGCAAGAAACAGATCTTGCCCAAGGTTATCCTTTATACATTTTTTAAATGCATGGGAAAACAAGTTGACATCTGTACACCTAAAACAAAACATATGACATATAATTGTAGAAAATTCCAGTTCCACAACTTATTTGCCTGCTCAACTGAGCCTACTCTCTTATTATTCACCTCTCTTTCCTGCTCTTTGCCATTGGGACTTAAGTATGCTGACCTCACCTTCTGCTTCTTAAGACTTAATATATTCTAATTATTGTATATGGTGACATATTCTTAATGATTTTAATATGTTAGAATTAGAACTAATATAATTAATATTGTTAATATATTAGTATTAGAATGAATAAAATTAATACAATTATTATGTAATTTACATAACTAAGAATCATAGCAGCTAACTTGTGTGACCTAAAAAAGTAAGTTAGTAGAAATTTATGTCTGGTTTAAAGTAAAAGATCTTGAATGTGTCAAGAGAGTCTAATATATTAGTACTACTTCCCTCCCAGAATCCCCAGAGTGCTCTGAAATATTGCCAAGGGAATTGGTTCCTGTGGTGTAATTTCCACACTTTTTCTACTTATACTTACTATGAAACTCGTAAAAAGGCATGACTAATGCACCTGTCTTCAGCTGAAACTGGTTACAAAGCATTACTTTTAGGCAGTAAAATTTGCACTAACAGGGTGGTAACAAAAGACTGTCAGAAATCCATCTCAAAGGATAAACACATCATTGCATCATAGCGAAGAATTAGCCATGTAGTAAAGAAAAAACAAATCTAGAATGTCAGGACAAATTCCCTATGCAACTTTTCAAATAATTTACATCCATGGCGATTTTCAATTTTCCCTGATTCTTTAGTCAATCTAAACAATAAGACAATAAATGATAAGCTCTAACAATCTATCTTATAAACTACAAAATATTAAAATTTTCTTATCTTCTAACATTGGAAAATATAAGATATAATTTTAACTGTAACCGTGGTCAGACATGTCATTTCATGATATCTTTTAAGAAGTCAGCCTTGAGTTCTACTTCTATCCCAGGCATTCAGAGATCAGTCAAAAGAATAGGAATAATAAAAATATAAATATTGTTTTCTTCATTTTTGTGTGACATGCCACTGGTGTAAATACTGACATATGCATACACTTGATCCAAAAGTAGTCCAAGGAGAATTACCTAAATTGTGATTCAACAATACTTATAATCTTCCACTGCATTCTATTCACTGTAGCTCTGTAAATCTCTCTATATATGAGCTATAAGTTATAGTCAATCATTTTGTTAAATTAGAGGAAATAAATATGCTTCATTTATAAAGTGATAATTATAAAAACGGAAACTGGCCTATCAATTCCTTTCTATTCGCATTTCCTTCTCCATCTCCTTCTATACTTAGTACATGCAGAGATATGAATTCCTTGTAATGATATATAATAAAGAAACATAAGTTTAAATCATAGGTTATCATATAATGACACAAACACAAACATGATTATAGCTTTACTGTGGAAATAAATTTAAGGTATTTTAGTAATACAATAGTATAGCATTAATCTAAAAGAAATTCTATTTTCCAATTCACTCAATTTCTTAGTTTTAAGATATAAATAAATTCATATTGTTGAAAAATTAAAAGTTTTAGAAATAAAGTATGATTTTTCATTCATAACCCTTGTCTACCCCATTTTTACCCCTTCCTTTATAATTTATCACCTTTAGTAGTTTTTACTATCAATATTTCTTTATGAAAATAACTTAAAACATTAATGTATATCTATCCTTATCATCCTCAGAGTATTCAGCAACTTGCCTAAGGGCATTAAAATGACTAAATTTCGTAACAGGATTAAAATTTAGGCCATCTGATTTCAAAGCCCAGATGTTTCATTATAGCAATGTTACTGCTTCTAATGACTTGATGAATTTTGTAAGTGACCTAAGTATTTACTTTCTCTTTTTTTGGAGGCAAAGTCTTGCTCTGTTACCCAGGCTGAAGTGCAATGGCACCATCTTGGCTCACTGCAACCTCTGCCTCCTGGGCTCAAGCAATCCTCCTGTCTCAGCCTCCGAAGTAGCTGGGATGACAGGCATGCACCACCATGCCCAGCTAATTTTTTCTATTTTTTGTATAGATGAGGTTTTGGCATGTTGCCTAAGCTGGTCTTGAACTCCTGAGCTCGAGTGATCCACCTGCCTCGGCCTCCCAAAGTGCTGAGGTTACAGGCATGAGCCATCACATCCAGCCGGTATTTTTTTATTATATTATTTTAATTATGGAGATCTTTCTATTCACACAAATATATCAGTGTCATCTAATATTATGATTATTAGCAAGTAGGCTACTTACTGGTCTTCCAAGTTACATCTTTTTTTCCCTCCTGCATCATTTTTTGTAAGATCCATTCTCTAATACCTCTCTGTGTCAAAAAATGGAACAAACTCATATAGCACAAGACTCTGCATGTGTTCCTACTGGAGTTACTAACCAACCCCAGGCTCCCCTAGTGCATCACTGTCTTGTGCCACCAAAGCTTACCGTTCCTTTGCTGATGATAAAGAAGGTGTCCCCTCTTGCACCTTGCCTGATAATATATTCTCCATTTTCATAGTGGGTCTGAAAAGTAGAAACAATAAGAAAAAAAATTAAGCAAGCAGTAAGTTACCAAACAGCTCAGCCTCTTCAAATATCAACCCCCAGGGATATATTCATCCTAATGGAATTTTATCCAAGCCTGGAACCATCATGATTTAATAATGAATATTAGTCAATGTATGCAATAATGACAAAGATATCATCTCTATAATGCTCATTTTCTTTTTTTATTATTATTACACTTTAAGTTTTAGGGTACATGTGCACAATGTGCAGGTTAGTTACATATGTATGCATGTGCCATGCTGGTGTGCTATAATGCTCATTTTCAAGACTGCTTTTAATGTCATTTTTCTAGGTGATTACATCATACCTTTAAATTCATTCATTTCGATTGTTTGATGAAAATATTCTTTTCTCCCATCAACTGAGCATAAAACAAAATAGCAGAGCTCCTAATAATATAGAACTACTCATTCTATATTATTTTATTTGTCATTCTCATTGAGTTTTATATTCTCATAATTAGAGCCTTTTTCTCCTAAGAAATTGTTGCAGCATGTAAAAATCTTCCTTTGAAACCAGGTTGATTTTTATTGTGGGTTAGACGACCCTAGTTACTTTTTAAGGCACCACTTCATGCTTTAGTGTTCTTGCTTCAGCAGTTTAGATTTGGCCCTGTGAAATGGAATATCTTAATTTTATGGACTGAATTCTGGTCCAGCATCTGTGAGCTTATAAACTATCAAATGAGGAGTGAGGTAAGGCCGCAAAAGGATTATCACAGTCAGTATATCAGTATTCTGACACGGACACCACAACTAGGTCTGTTTCCAGGGTGAAGATTACTTCTGCAATGAACAAAAGTAATTTCAATAAGGAGAGGTCGGAGAAAGTATACTGCTGGGTCAAGCGGTCTAACAGAAAAATGAGAACTGTGCCATCTGGCCCTATCCTTCTCTGCAGCATAGCAGAGAAGCTATATTTTTGGGAAATAAAACATTATTTTGCACACTCCTAACAAAACAGAATTCGTGGTTTACATGCAGTATCCATTAGACTGATGGTTGTTATTTGTCCTTATGCTTCAATACAGTTTTTCTTAACACATAAAGTGCTAAGATTGCCTTAAAATTGCCTTTCATTAATACTTGACATTGAAAAGAGCCATTATTTTCTTAGAGTATCTAGAAAGTTAACATACTACCTAATTTGCTAGTTTTTTTACTCAAAAGTAATTCAGTTTTCTAGGAACAAGATTTTTAAATAAAAAAGTATTTCTTATTCCTTTCCCTCAGTTTCAACCACCAGATGATATATACAGTCTGATATGTACACTTCAAGACTTTCTTTCCATGCTTTTAACAACCACCAACCCATCCTGCACACACACATGAATACAAATAATTATTTCTAAATAAAAATAATATTATAGAATGCATATTCTTCAACTGATTTATTTCATTTAACAAGATATCTATGCTGCACTAAAATGGAAAGAATTTTACAACATGCAGATTTGAAAAACAAAATGGCAGTGGTCCACTTTCATGTATTCATTTAACCAAAACCTTTTTAAGACAGGGTCTCACTCTGTTGCTCATTCTGTTGCAGTGGCCCGATCATGGCTCATTGCAGCCTTGACCTCCCAGGCTCAAGTGATCCTCTCACCTCAAATCTCATCTTAAATTGTAGCTTTCATAATTCCCACAGGTTGTAGGAGGGACCTGGTGGGAGATAATTGAATCATGAGAGCCGTTTCTTCCATACTGTTCTTGTGGTAGTAAAGAAGTCTCATGAGACCTGATGGTTTTATAAGGGGTTTCCTCTTTGGCTTGGCTCTCATTGTGTCTTGTCTGCCACCATGTAAGAGTGCCTTTTGCCTTCTGCCATGATTGTGAGGCCTCCCCAGCCATGTGGAATGTTGAGTCCATTAAACCTTTTTCTTTCTAAGTTACCCAGTCTTAGGGATGTCTTTACCAACAGTATGAGAATGAACTAATACAGCCTCCCAAGTAGCTGGGACCACAGGTGTACACTACCATGCCTAGTTAATTTAATTATTATTATTATTATTATTTTATTTTTTTTGTAGAGAGAGGTTTTCCCTATATGTTGCCCAGGCTGGTCTCAAACTCCTGGGCTCAAGTGATCCTCCCACCTTGGCCTCCCCAAGTCTTAGGATTATAGGCATGAACCAGTGTGCCTTTCCAGCAAACATTTCTGAGGGCCTTAGAGTCAGGCCTTTTTATAGGCATTGATAACACAAAGATGAATAGGGTAAAATCTCATAATAGCTCCATCCACTGGAAATGTTCTATAACTGTATTGTCTAATATGGTAGCCACAAGACACATGGGGCTACTGAGCATTTGAAATATGACCAGTGTGACTCAGAAGCTGAATTTTTAAATTTATTTAATTTTAATAAATTAAAGTTTAAATAGTCACACATAGTAGATACCGTATTGGGTAGCAAAGGTAGTAGCAGAGTTACAGTTGTAGCTTTGGGACAAGCGGGAGAGGAGAACATCTTTCCCACTCTTGATACTTCCTTCCACGTGAATGAAGCTCAATTAGTAAAACTAAGTACCTTTCTCTTCCCCTTTCCTCACTCTGCACCAGGAGAGGTGGCATGACTCATCTGATTGATAAACTTGGAAGTAAACAGCTATGTGTGCTCATCCCAACTTCTCTTCTTTTCCTCATGGAAGGGAGCTTCCCACAGAGGGCTGGCATTGCTGCTTCTCCAGGGAAAGGCCCTTCTCTTCACAATAGTGAAGTTTGCCCCTCTCTGAGCTTCTGTGACAGGGCAGGTAATTCTGCCCAATGATAGGGTTCAATTTGGGAAGACTAGCTGGCTCTCATACCTAAGGTACATCCTGTAACCCAGATTTTATTAGTAATAATGGTAATGTTTTGCCTCCATTTATCCTACTCTTTGTCTTGTTTCTCACTTGGTTCCTAATTCAAGATCACTCAACAATGCCAGAATAATCCAGCTTGCAGAATGCTTTCCTGTATATAAGTACAGGGCTATACGTGTGAGAGCACAGTCTGGGAGACATGTGACTTCCCAAGAGCTTCTCCATGGAGGATTCTTGAGCCCCAACAGAAGGATAAAGAGGTCACCAATATTCAGCAGGTTAAAAACACCTCAGAAAGAGGAGAATAAGCAGCTCATTATGATCAAATAATACTAGTGAATATACAATTATTTTGGAAAAAGTAGAAAAATGCAAATAAAAAGCACCAAAAATTGAAGAACTCTTAACCTATGTGAGCTCATTCCCCTCATCCATCTCCTTTTAAAAAGCATATCCCTATCCATGTGATAGTTATTTTCTTTCAGAAAGCCAAAATTATTTGTAATATATTAAAATGAGCGAAAGTAAGGGGTTCTTAACCTCAGCACTATTGACATTTTGAGGCCATTCGTTCTTATTGTAGGGAGATGTCCTGTACATCCAGTTTTGCTGCAGGATGTTTAACAGAGTTGCCAGCCTCTTCCAACTAGATGCTAGTAGCACCCTAACCCCAGCTGCAGAAATCAAAACTATCTCCAGACATTGCTAATTACTCCATTGGGAACAAAACTGTCCCCAGCTGATAGCAATTACTCTAAATTTTTTATATTCTTAATCTCTTCATCTTAAAGAGTTGAAAGTTTGGTGGGGATATCCAGATATAGTCTAGTCTATTTAATTCTTGAAACTTATCTAATCATCTTCTTAATATCATCTGATATGGTGTTTCATAACTCAACTTGTCATATAAATATCTGTTTACCTACACAGGCATTCACTGAACGAACATATGTCCATGTTGCATGAGCTCATAAAATCCAGGGGTCACAGAACAACCTATGGAACAGTGGCCAAAGGCATTCTAGGTTTGGGAAAGATAATATTTATGGTGTCGTAACACCAGGACTGTAATGACTAAGCTATTCTGAAACGTTTAATTGCACCTGAGGGGAAGATGATCTTGCATGCTGATTCTTTAAGAGGCTCTCTAATTATGTTAATCAAATGCCAGCACTTTCACTGGTTTTTGAAGGTTATTTTACAGCTCTACCATTTTCATATTTCAAATTAAATCAAAGAAATAAACAGAATTTAGAGTAAGAAGAAATCTTAGCAATTAGACAGCTTCCTTTCAAAGGTTTCCATAGTTATTAAGATAAAAGCCAGTTTCTCAAACATGGCCTACGAGACCATGTCTGCTCAATGCCATAGTATCCAACCTCTTCTCACTGTTCCCGATTTTGCCCTCCAGCCCTGCCAGCCTTCTGAGATTGGTTCCTTGACTGTGCCACCACCAGGCCTGAGCACTCCTACTGCCATACTTCACTGCTGCTTCCCTAGTTATATCCTACTTTTCTTTCAGATCTTAGCCTTCTCTCACCTGGCATACCCACCCTTACCACCACCACCACACACACATGAACACACTCTCTCTCTCTCACACACACACATTCTGGCTAAATTAGTTCTCTCCATTGTATGAACTTACAATACCACACAGGTCTATTTCATTGCCCTTTTCTAGGCTTCTACTTGTTTATTGACTTGCATGATTATTTTTCACCAGATTTTAACTCCTCTGAAAGCAAGAACTGTGTCTAGTTCTGTTCACCACACATAAAATCCCCAGTGCCTAACCTTGTGCTTGGAACATAGTAGGGACTCAAAACTAATTGCACAAATGAGGTAGTCTTCCTTAATCCCCATCATTAATATTGCCCACAGTCAGTCTATTAGAAAGGCTTCTACTTCCAACTCATGGGCTAAACCCAATATTCTTCCACTATCCCCATTGTTTTTTTCCCTTGTTCAAGACAAAATCTTATCTTGGACCTTTGCAATGTCTTCTTATCTGGTCTCCCTGTCACTTGTCTACTCATCATACCCCAAACCATCCCCTCTATTTTTCTCACTGCCATCAAAGTGACCTTTCAA
This sequence comes from Homo sapiens, assembly GCF_000001405.40. Taxonomy (NCBI): domain Eukaryota; kingdom Metazoa; phylum Chordata; class Mammalia; order Primates; family Hominidae; genus Homo; species Homo sapiens. The sequence goes on along the minus strand of NC_000010.11, from coordinate 52,049,543 downwards.
ATAACAAATCAATTGAAATCACTTTATTGCTTAAAAACTTTCAATGGCTTCTTACTACAAGTAAAATCATAAACAATTTATTGTGGTCTGTAAAATTCTCTGTATTCTGACCCCTATTCACTTCTCCATCCTTTCCCCTCCCATTATCACTCTTGTGATTCTGTTTCAGACTTGCTGGCTTTTTTTCTGTGACTTGCATGTGCCATGCTGGATCCCTTCTAGGGACTTTGCACTCAACTGGTCCTTTCTCTAGCACTCCTCCTTAAGATTTTTGACATTATCTTGCTGTCATCACTGGGGCCTCATAAAGCCTTTTTCTGGCCAATCTTACCAGTGTGCACTCCGACCCCATTCACTTTGTATCCCTGTTTGTATTTCTGTGATAGTAGAAAGCTATCCAAAGGTTTGCTGCTGCCAAAATGCTCCTGCATGCTTTAATGACTGCGTGATAACCAGCACAGCTGCAAACCACAGCAAAGCCTCCTGCGAGAAGAGTCTTCTATCACAGTCTTTATGATCTGAAATTATTACTCTTTTGCTTGCTATCTGTGACTCCTCCCCCCGTTACCTGGAGGTCTTATGCTATATTCATTGCTTCAGTTTGAACAGTGCCTAACACAAAATAGGCATTCAATATATATTTGTTGAAAGATAACTAGATTGAAGATAGATTTAGCCCAAACCTCTTCATTTCAAATAAGAAAACGGAGTTATAAATCAGAGATTAGGAGGATAGATAGAGAAAGAAAATTGACAGCACGTCTAAATTAAGCAATACATTTCCCCAAAGACAATAACTTGAACTTTTATTTCTAAAACTTGTGAGTTAAAAAACCTGTCTTCTCATTGCTGCTAAAATATAAGGTATGGCTTTTCTAGTTAATATTGTGTGCCTTTGCGTTCTCAGAATTCAACATTAATATATAAATGTACATTTAGCTATTTTAAAATTCTACACATATTTATTTGATGACACGTGACAGAGGCTTATTACAACACTGGATGTGGTTGTTGAAGGCCTTGATGGTGACTCCTTGGTGAATATAAATGATTTATTTTCTTTTGTTAGATCACAGTCATAGTTATTGATATCAAATATACCATATTTTAACTAGCAATTTCATTTTCAGTTCTGACTAATGTAATCTCTCATTGAATCTCAGTTAATATAAACTAAAACACAACATATCATTCTGAAATAAATTCTCACCCTAAATTATTTCAGCCCAAGATTACATCATTTTTTCCTCTATATTTAAGTTTGGAGTTATGCTTAAGTCTTTATTAAAGCATAGATCATCAATAAAATATGACATCATTATTTCCTCTATATTTAAGTTTGGAGTTATGCTTAAGTCTTTATTAAAGCATAGATCATCCATAATTGACATTTTTCTAATGATCAGGTCATATGTAATTCAGGCCAATTACTAATTCAGGCAATTACCAATACTATGGTAATTGCTACTAATTATAAAAATAGCTGCAATAAGTATAAACCACCTTTGTATGCCCGCTTTATTTATATATACATATACATGTATATCTCATGTACATCTCAACTAAAGCATGACTAATAAATGTTTGAAACAGAATAATCATTGGAAATCTGCTGAGTTAAGATTAATCAATATGATCTTGGGTCATGGTTTGTACCTTATTCTTTCAGAAGATATATCTCAGAAGAAGAGTCCTATATTAAGATGAAGAACATTATTTAAAATATTGGGATCTGCCTTTTTGGGGCCAAAATCAGTCAGTTCCTCAAAGGAAATTCTTACCTCTCCCTAATATCCCAGATTTACTCCAAAGGCAAGACCTTTTCATGTAGAACTGAATCATCAAACAGCTTGATTAATCAAAAACCATGCTAGTAAGGTAGGCAACCAGCAAGACATTTCTTGACTGTGGACTTTTGTGTTTGTTAAAGCTCTGTCCATTAGATATGACTGGTCCTAGATTATCTAGAGATGCCAAGAACGACTGAAAGCTATTCATAACAGCATAAAATTCTCACCATTGCTATCCTTAGATTTTGGTGGTTTGGAATATAAGGTTTTAGGTAAAATCTATTCTGGAGCCAGTTAGCTATCACATCTGTAAACCAGAAGTTCTTCTCACTCTGATCTCCAATCCATGGTCACCACAGATTTCATCACAGAAGTAGTGCAGCAATATTTTTCAGTGCACAAAAGTTGTCATAAATGGGCCATTTCTCACTCATGGAAAAACCATTGTCGAAAGGATTTGTTCTGCTATGAACTGTTTTCTTGGATAACAGATAACTTCATTCAGGCTATAATTTTAATATGCTCTCCTTCCTATCCTCTAAAAGAAAATTTTTGTTCCTCATATCATCATCCACAAATTAACCAAGATATCAAAAGAATAAATAAATCCTGGAACACTTTTTCTAATTTTCCTTCCTCATACCATCACCACCCTGTCCCAACCTACTGGACATCTGGGATAATCGGGAATTATGTATGAGGAATTACGCATCTCTCATACTATAGAGATTTTCTATTTAAGCGCTACATCTCATCTTCCACTCGGGACACTCTATTTATTTACATCCAACACTTCCCCACATTTCTTGGGCAGAATAAAAACTTGCCTCCAGATCTTCTCAAATTAATGTGTAAAATCCTGCTTTACCAAGTCTGAACTTCAGGTGCAGAGGAGATACACAATCTGGTTAGGAGAGTGCAGCCTTTTGTTAATTTAATTAATTAAACCAACATTATTTATGTGTGCCTCCTATGAATGAGACACTGCACTTGACACTGAGGCTGCAAAGATACACAAGACACAGTCAACAATTAGAGAGTCAGCATAGCATTGTGATTAAACAGGTACTGGAGGCAGGCTCCCTGGTTACAAATCCAGCTCTGGAACCCTAAGAAAGTCACTTAACTTCCCTATGCCATGTTCTTTTCTGCAAAATATAACCATACCTCCATAAACAGATTGTTGTGAGGACTGAATGAGTTAATAATAACAAAACACAGTGTCTGTCATATTGTAATCATGATATACCTATAAATTGTTAGTTTGATTATTTTTAGGGAAATTTCAGTGTACAGAGATAGAACAGTATACAAATAATCTATAATACAAAGCTTTTCCGAGGCAGGCAGTGATTCCTCACTGGATGGGGAAGAAGGGGGAAGGGCTTTCCATGTGTAGAGAACAGTGTTTGTAAAGGTACAAATACCTCCACAAATGTAAAGGTGCTCAGATGATGAGTGCATGTACTTTACATAAAAAAAGAAGGTCAGAGTGACTGAATCTTATAACTCATAAAATAGAAATGAATTTATTTTTATTGCGTCATTCTCCAAATCCAATATAATTAACCCAGTGACCTTCAACCTCTGAACAATCTAAAGTTTAATGTCTTTACCATTCTCTCCTCTATCACAAAAAAATCACAATAGTAAAGTTCACTTCCAACCTTACTTTGTATTCAAAATTCAGAGATCTCCCTAGTTAATGTCCTGTGGATGAGAAGAAATACAGAAACACATCCTAAAGAGTCAAAACCAGAATCTCAGCAAACATCAGCATGCATTTTGACTGCTTAAAAGTTTCACCAGGATCACTCTACTGTGGGAAGGAAGGATGGTTTCCAGATAACCACAGTCAGAGCCTTTCTCCTCCCTGCAAGAACCATCATGCCCCCAGGAGTGAAAATGTGGATATCAAACAAAGAGAGCTCTAAACATCAATGAAGTGTGTCCCTCCATTCCTCTGGGGCTGACTCAGAGCACCTAGAAAACCTAAACTCCTTGGTAGAAACCCAAATGTGGACAAAAAATTGTTTTTTTTTCTTTTAATCATCAAGTATAGTTATCTAAGACTTCTGGATAGAGAGCCTGTCCATCACTGTCCCTCAAGACACCAAACTTGCCTAGCTCACCAAGATTATTTAAGACACAAACAGCTGGGCACAAATATGAGTCTGTGTCACTTCCATTGCTAAGAATCTATATGTACACAGCTGTCCCTTGTCACATTCCTTTATGTCATAACAACCCTGGATGAAACATTCCTCACTTACCTGTAACATTGTTTCTCAAACTACTTCACCTTGAACTTTGCCTTGCTCTTTCTGGTGTTGTGATGCATTCTAGCTACAAGGCATTTGTGCTTGGTCCTTTCTCCTTGAATCATTACATTTCTACCTACCTTGATAGTAGTCTCAGGACCTTGTTTCTACTGAGGTACCCATTAGTATTTAAAGCCCTTAGGTTGCTCTATAAATCAGCCTGATCCCCACTAGATAGGACAGATATTGTGGGGATAGAATATCAGACAGGCCTAAGCCTCATCCTGACCAGCTATGTATGGTCAGATCCCAAAGACACATAATTAAAATTTGCCTTATTAAGGTGCTGGGATTGATTCTTACTAGCTCCCACATGGATGAAAGGAATAGATGTGAAAGTACCTAGGGCAAGAAGTACTGGTACTATGTAAACAATTTAGAAAATTAATTTGTGACTTGCACCCAAATGTACTAAGCCAACAGGCTGGCTGAGACTCAGAATTGCTGTATGTCTGCCTCTCAAGCAGTTTGGAGTTGACACAAAGGTTTAAAGATTTCCTGCAGTGGACCCAGATGAAGCTTCTTAAAGGAAATAACGGAACTGTCACCAGGATGAACAGAAATGACTGGCAGCTTTGCATTTTTATGGTGTCTAAGGAACCAAGAGAAGCTGTAACCCCATCTGGGAGTATGCTGCTGTGTCCCTTGTTCTATGCAATCCATTAAAGGTATCAAGAAATCTATTTAGAGGGCTGCAAACAGCATTTTAAAAAAATGGAATAGAACAGAAAACATCAAATAAAGCACATGTAGTAAGATAAGTATAATCTGGAAAAGTGTTTGGTTTGTGCATGTAAATAATTATGTGTGTACTAGACCCAAGTGTAAAACGTATTCCTTACTACAACAAACAACACTTTGATAAAATAAATACTTTTCTTTCTTTACAAAAGCCATAAACTTTCAGAACAATGAAGTATCTTGGCTTCTACATCAAATCATTCTTAGTAATTATCATTAATAAAAATACTTGTATTGGAGTTCTGTCGTTTTTAAAATTATTTCCCTTTTAAAGGTGTGCATAGGTAGAAAGTACTAGTACGTTTTTAAAAGAATGTATAATCTCCATTTAAGTAAATGACACATTGACTCAGTTCATCTGTTTCCTCATTGAGCTCTCTGATCTTCTTCCTCAATCTTCTGCCTTACCTTTCCCACATTATGACAAAAGGCAATCACTTATAATTACATTTTGGTATATCCAAGTACCCAATTTTCCACACTAACTTTTAGCACTTCTCACAGTGCAAGATGACTACATAGGCTTTTGTACAACTGGCACTGCTGGTTTCTTTCTTTGAATCTCAAATATTTTTGAGTTCTTTGTGTCTTTGGTGGTTAGAGCACATCATTATCTTTTAAGCCTCTTGAACACCTTCAGAGTTTATGATTCAAAGACAACTGTTGACCTAGCACTGGCTGCCTGGACTATCTGAATCCTTACCCTGAATATCAGACAAAGAAAGGGATAACCTGGGCTGAAATTCCACAAATGCTTGGGTTTTTTTTTTTTTTCTATGTTTAACTGGGCTCTTCAATGACACTGTTTACTTAATGGATTTTCAATCCTTGGTTTTTTTTTCCAAAATTTTTTAAGTTTTTCTTTTAATTGATGTATAATTGTACATATTTATGAAGTAAAATGTGATGTTTCAATACATATATATACATGTGTAATGTTCAAATCAGGGTAATTAGCAGTCTATTACCATAAATGTTTATCATTTCTTTGTGGTGACAACATGCAAATCCTCTTTTTGCTATTTTGAAATATATATTATTTTTACCTAAAATGTGAAATAGAATACCAAAACTTATTTTTCCTCTCTAACTGTCACTTTGTATCTTTCCCCATCCCTCCCTTTCTCCTACCCTCTCCAGCTCCTGGTAACCAATATTCTACTCTCTGTTTTTATGAAACAAAATTTTACATTTCACATATAAGTGAGATCATGCAGTATGTAGCTTTTTATGTTTGACTTATTTCACTTAATGTCCTCCAGATTTATCCATGTTGTCACAAATGCCAGGATTTTATTTTTTAGAGCTAAAAAGTATTTCATTGTGTATATATTCCACATTTTTAATCCATTCCTTCATTGCAGCACTATTTACAATAGCCAAGGTATGATTTCATATCTTTCATAGTGCTGCAATAAACACCGAAGTCCAGATATCACTTCAATACATGGTTTCATTTCCTTTGGATTTATACCCCATAGTGAATTTACTGAATCATAGGACAGCTCTATTTCTAATTTTTTGAGGAACCTCCATACTGTTTTCCATATAAATGTACTAGTTTACATTCCTACAAAGAATAAGATTCCTTTTTATCCACATACTCACTAATACTTGTTTTCTTTTATCTTTTAGATAACAGCAATTCTAACTGGAGTGAGGTGAAATCTCATCATGGTTCTGATTCACATTTCCCTGATAATTAGTGATAAAAACATTTTTTATATACCTGTTACCCATTTCTAAATCTTCCTTTGAGAAATGACTATTTAGATCTTTAGCCCATTTTTAAATCAAGTTATTTGTTTTTTTATTGCTGTTGGATTGTTTGAGTTTCTTACATAGACCAGACATTAATGCCCAGTTGGATGTATAATTTGAGAATATTTTCTCCCATTCTGCAGGCTGTCTCTTCACTATGTTGATTGTTTCCCCTGCTGGGCAGAAGCTTTTGAGTTTGACATAATCTCATTTGTTTATTTTTGCTTTTGTTGCCTGTGCTTTTGAGGTTTTACTAAAAAATTATTGCCCAGATCAATGTAATGAAGCATTTCCCTTATATGTTCTTCTAGTACTTTCATAGTTTTGGGTCTTATGTTTAAGTCTTTAATCCATTTGAAGTTCATTTTTGCATATGGTGAGAGATAGGGATCTAGTTTCATTCTTCTGCATGTGGATATCCAGTTTTTCCAGGACCATTTATTGAAGAGACTGTTCATTCCCCAATGTGTGCTCTTGGCATTTTGTTGAAAATCAGTTGGCTGTTGATATGTGGATTTATTTCTGGGCTTTCTATTTTGTTCATTCATCTGTGTATCCGTTTTTATGCTAGTACCATGTGTTTTGGTTACTATAGCTTGTTAGTGTATTTTGAAGTCAGGTAGTGTGATGCTTCCAGCTTTGTTCTTTTTGCTTAAGATTGCTTTGGCTATTCAGGGTCTTCCATGGTTCCATATCAATTTTTAGTATTGATTTTTCTATTTCTGCAAAGAATGCCCTTAGTATTTTGAGAGAAAGTACATTGAATCTGCATATCACTTTGGGTAGATGGGCATTTCAACAATATTTAATATAACAATATTAATTTTCTAATCCATGAACACAGAATATCCTTCTGTTTACTTCTGTTCTCTTTAATTTCTTTCATCAGTGCTTTATAGTTTTTAGTGTAGAGATCTTGCTTCACCTCCTTGGTTAAATTTATTCCTAGGTATCTAATTTTTGTGTGTGTGAAGCTATTATTATATAAATGAGATTTCTTTATTTCTTTTTTAGATAGTTCACTGTTAATTTATGGAAAAGCTACCAATTTAAATATATTGATTTTGTATACTGAAATTTTAGTAAATTTACTCATTAATTCTAAGAATTTCTGAAGGACTCTTAGGGTTTTACATATTTAAGATCACAAGAAATTATTATGAATAATTATATATCAAAAAATTGGAAAACCTAGAAGAAATGTATAAATTCCTGGACACATACAACTTACGAAGATTCAGTCATTAAAAAATAGCAAATATAAACAGGCCAATAACTACTAACAAGATTAAATCATGATAACCAATCTCCCGTCTAAGAAAAGCATGGGACCTGATGGCTTCACTGCTGACTTCTACCAAACATTTAAAGAACTATACTAATTCCTTTCAAACCATTCCAGATAACTGGAGAGAAGGGAATTCTTCCAAGTTCATTCTACAAGGCCAGCATTACTCTGATAGCAAAACCAGTCAAGACCACAACAATAAAAATGACAAACTATAGGCCAACATTCTGGATGAGCATAGATGCAAAAACCCTCCACAAAATACTAGCAAACTGAATTCAACAGCACTTTAAAAATAATTCACCATGATCAGGTGGGATTCATCCAAAGGATGCAGGGATGGTTCAACATTGTCAATCAATAAAAGTGATTCATCACATTAACAGAATTAAGGATAAAAACCATGTGATCATTTCAATAAACACAGAAAAAGCATTTGACAAAATTCAACATCAATTTGATGATAAAAACTCTAAACAAATTAGGCACAGAAGATATGTACCTCAGTACAAGTGGTGACTCAGACCTGTAATCTTAGCATTTTGGGAGGCCGAGGTGGGCAGATGACTTGAGGTCAGGAGTTCAAAACTAGCCTGGCCAACATGGTAAAACCTCGTCTCTACTAAAAATGCAAAAAAATAAGCAGGGCATGGTGGCGGGCGCCTGTAATCCCAGCTACTCAGAAGGCTGAGGCAGGAGAATTGCTTAAACCCAGGAGGTGGAGGTTGCAGTGAGCCAAGATCATGCCACAACACTCCAGCCTGGGTGACAAAGCAAGACTCCCATCTCAAAAAAAAAAAAAAAAAAAAAGAAAAGCCATTTATGACAAACTCACAGCTAACATCATACTTAAGCGAGAAAAAGTTAAAAGCTTTCCTTCCAAGATCCAGAATAAGATAGGGATGCCCACTTTCACCACTTCTGTTCAATACAATACTGAAAGTCCTAGCCAGAGCAATTAGCAAGTGAAAGGAACAAAAGTCATCCAAATTGGAAAGGAGGAAGTCAAACTGTTCCCATTTCCTTTCAGAGATTTCTGATGCAAATATACTAACATAATATAACGACTAAGAGTAATATCAAAGCAGGCCCACAAAACACCAAAAATCTATTTTAAACTTAGTTCATTTCAGACCTATTCATTTGACAACAGAATAAAACTGTTTATAGAGTAGACCAGCAAGCATTCTACTCCACCTAATTAAACTATAATTCAAATTTAACAATTTGATTTACAAAGGCAATTAGCTTCAGCAGAACTTGAAAATAGTTTGCCCCGACAGATTATGAAATGTGTTACAGGGAATCACACAATTTAGTGTTTCAGAGTCACCATCTGAAGTATAAATATGTATTGAAGTTTCTACCAAAATAAATCCAGTACTCAAAAAGAAAAAGAGCAGGTTGATCACAGTTTCTCATGAACCCTATAGCAAAAATAGTGGAGCAGGTCAAATGTATGTAGAATTTACTCAATATTTTACTTCTTTAGGAGTTTAAAATAAACACTTAACCTTTCTCTTTGAGAAGGCACTATTGAGTTTAAAGGGCATCTTGAGTGCTTGAGGTCAATAAAGAATGGAAAGAGAGAATTAAATTACATGAGGGAGAAAAGGGCTCCTCACACATTGGAGGATGTGGTTCTTATGGTAAGGATTTTTTGTTTCTGTCTAGGCTTGTCTGAGAGTAGTCTTGTTCAGAGCTGAAGGTAGAGTCATTTAGGATTTTGCCCCCTTTTTTATTCTGCAGTATGCCATATAACTCCTCAGAAGCAGTGCACTGGTGAGACTTGAGTGCTTCTCAAAAATTAGGAGACAAAGGAAGAAAAGGATTTTTTTCCCCAGAAAGTGAAATTAGTGTATTTTCCAGAGCTAATACCAAATATAGTATACAGAATATTTAATAAGTAGCAGTTTAAGGGCACTAACCAGTCAGAAAGAACACAGGCTGCACAGGGTCCTAGGTCCCTTCCTAGGTTATGGTGTGGTTTAGAGGCCTCAGGAATGAGCTGAGGTGGCAGTCAGAGGGTTACTAGCAGAGGATACGTACTAACTGGTACAGTAGCATTTCAATATGTTTACTGTCAGGCCTCTGAGCCCAAGCCAAGCCATCGCATCCCCTGTGATTTGCACATGTACGCCCAGATGACCTGAAGTAACTGAAGAATCACAAAAGAAGTGAATATGCCCTGCCCCACCTTAACTGATGACATTCCACCACAAAAGAAGTGTAAATGGCCAGTCCTTGCCTTAAGTGATGACATTACCTTGTGAAAGTCCTTTTCCTGGCTCATCCTGGCTCAAAAAGCACCCCCACTGAGCACCTTGCGACCCCCACTGCTGCCTGCCAGAGAACAACCCCCCTTTGACTAATTTTCCTTTACCTACCCAGATCCTATAAAATGGCCCCACCCCTATCTCCCTTCACCGACTCTCTTTTCGGACTCAGTCCGCCTGCACCCGGGTGAAATAAACAGCCATGTTGCTCACACAAAGCCTGTTTGGTGGTCTCTTCACACGGACGTGCATGAAATTTGGTGCCGTGACTCGGATCGGGGGACCTCCCTTGGGAGATCAATCCCCTGTCCTCCTGTTCTTTGCTCCACGAGAAAGATCCACCTACGACCTCAGGTCCTCAGACTGACCAGCCCAAGGAACATCTCACCAATTTTAAATCAGGTAAGCGGCCTCTTCTTACTCTCTTCTCCAACCTCTCTCACTGTCCCTCAACCACTTTCTTCTTTCCACTCTTCAATCTCTCCCTTCTCTTAATTTCAATTCCTTTCATTTTCTGGGAGAGACAAAGGAGACATGTTTTTATCCGTGGACCCAAAACTCCGGCGCTGGTCACGGACTGGGAAGGCAGCCTTCCCCTGGTGTTTTATCATTGCAGGGACGCCTCTCTGATTATTCACCCACGTTTCAAAGGTGTCAGACCACGCAGGGACGCCTGCCTTGGTCCTTCACCCTTAGCAGCAAGTCCCACTTTTCTGGGAAAGGGGCAAGTACCTCAACCCCTTCTCTCCTTGTCTCTACCCCTTCTCTGCTTTTCTGGGGGAGGGGCAAGTACCCCTCAACCCCTTCTCCTTCACTCTTAGCGGCAAGTCCCGCTTTTCTAGAGGATGGGCAAGTACCCCAACCTCGTATCTCTGTGCCCCAATCCCTTATTTCCGCGCCCCAACCTCTTATATCTCTGTGCCCCAATCCCTTATTTCCATGCTCGACCCCTTATTTCCGTGCCCCTACCCCTTATTTCTGTGCTTCATCCCTTATTTCCATGCCCCGACCTCTTATCTCTGCGCCCCAACCTCTTTTCCCACTTTTCTGGAAGGTAAGAACCCCCGAACCCCTTCCCTCAGTTTCTCTACTCTCTCTTTTCTCTAGGCTTGCTTCCTTCACTATAGGCAACCTTCCACCCTTCATTCCTCCTTCTACTCCCTTGGCCTGTGTTCTCAAAAACTTAAAACCTCTTCAACTCACACCTGACCTAAAACCTAAATGCCTTATTTTCTTCTGCAATGCTGCTTGACCCCAATACAAACTCGACAGTAGTTCCAAATAGCCAGAAAATGGCACTTTGAATTTTTCCATCCTGCAAGATCTAAGTAATTCTTGTCGTAAAATAGCCAAATGGTCTGAGGTGCCTGACGTCCAGGCATTCTTTTACACATCAGTCCCTTCCTAGTCTCTGTGCCCAGTGCCACTCATCCCAAATCTTCCTTCTTTCCCTCCCGCCTGTCCCCTCAGTACCAACCCCAAGCATCGCTGAGTCTTTCTAATCTTCCTTTTCTACAGATCCATCTGACCTCTCCCTTCCTCCCCAGGCTGCTCCTCGCCAGGCCGAGCTAGGTCCCAATTCTTCCTCAGCCTCTGCTCCTCCACCCTATAATCTTTTCATCACCTCCCCTCCTCACACCTGGTCTGGCTTACAGTTTCGTTCCATGACTAGCCCTCCCCCTCCTGCCCAGCAATTTACTCTTAAAAAGGTGGCTGGAGCCAAAGGCATAGTCAACTTTAATGCTCCTTTTTCTTTATCCCAAATCAGATAGCGTTTAGGCTCTTTTTCATCAAATATAAAAATCCAGCCCAGTTCATGACTTGTTTGGCAGCAACCCTGAGACACTTTACAGCCCTAGACCCTAAAAGGTCAAAAGGCCGTCTTATTCTCAAAATACATTTTATTACCCAATCTGCTCCAGACATTAAATAAAACTCCAAAAATTAAATTCCGGCCCTCAAACCCCACAACAGGATTTAATTAACCTCGCCTTCAAGGTGTACAATAATAGAAAAATGTTGCAATTCCTTGCCTCCACTGTGAGACAAACCCCAGCCACATCTCCAGCACACAGGAACTTCCAAATGCCTGAACCGCAGCGGCCAGGCTCCTCCAGAACCTCCTCCCACAGGAGCTTGCTACATGTGCCAGAAATCTGGCCACTGGGCCAAGGAATGCCTGCAGCCCGGGATTCCTCCTAAGCCGTGTCCCATCTGTGTGGGACCCCACTGAAAATCGGACTGTTCAACTCACCTGGCAGCCACTCCCAGAGCCCCTGGAACTCTGGCCCAAGGCTGACTGACTCCTTCCCAGATCTTCTCGGCTTAGCGGCTGAAGACTGACACTGCTTGATCGCCTCGGAAGCCCCCTAGACCATCACAGACGCCGAGCTTCCGGTAACTCTCACAGTGGAAGGTAAGCCCGTCCCCTTCTTAATCAATACGGAGGCTACCCACTCCACATTACCTTCTTTTCAAGGGCCTGTTTCCCTTGCCTCCATAACTGTTGTGGGTATTGACGGCCAGGCTTCTAAACCTCTTAAAACTCCCCAACTCTGGTGCCAACTTAGACAATACTCTTTTAAGCACTCCTTTTTAGTTATCCCCACCTGCCCAGTTCCCTTATTAGGCTGAGACACTTTAACTAAATTGTCTGCTTCCCTGACTATTCCTGGACTACAGCTATATCTCATTGCCGCCCTTCTTCCCAATCCAAAGCCTCCTTTGCGTCCTCCTCTTGTATCCCCCCACCTTAACCCACAAGTATAAGATACCTCTACTCCCTCCTTGGCGACCAATCATGCACCCGTTACCATCTCATTAAAACCTAATCACCCTTACCCCACTCAACGCCAATATCCCATCCCGCAGCATGCTTTAAAAAGATTAAAGCCTGTTATCACTTGCCTGCTACAGCATGGCCTTTTAAAGCCTATAAACTCTCCTTACAATTCCCCCATTTTACCTGTCCTAAAACCGGACGAGCCTTACAAGTTAGTTCAGGATCTGCGCCTTATCAACCAAATTGTTTTGCCTATCCACCCCGTAGTGCCAAACCCATATACTCTCCTATCCTCAGTACCTGCCTCTATAACCTATTATTCTGTTCTAGATCTCAAACATGCTTTCTTTACTATTCCTTTGCACCCTTAATCCCAGCCTCTCTTCACTTTCACTTGGACTGACCCTGACACCCATCAAGCTCAGCAAGTTACCTAGGCTGTACTGCCGCAAAGCTTCACAGACAGCCCCTATTACTTCAATCAAGCCCAAATTTCTTCCTCATCTGTTACCTATCTCAGCATAATTCTCATAAAAACACACGTGCTCTCCCTGCCAATCATGTCCGACTAATCTCTCAAACCCAAGCACCTTCTACAAAACAACAACTCCTTTCCTTCCTAGGCATGGTTAGCGTGGTCAGAATTCTTACACAAGAGCCAGGACCGCACCCTGTAGCCTTTCTGTCCAAACAACTTGACCTTACTGTTTTAGCCTAGCCCTCATGTCTGCGTGCAGCGGCTCCCGCTGCTTTAATACTTTTAGAGGCCCTCAAAATCACAAACTATGCTCAACTCACTCTCTACAGTTCTCATAACTTCCAAAATCTATTTTCTTCCTCATACCTGACGCACATACTTTCTGCTCCCCGGCTCCTTCAGCTGTACCCACTCTTTGTTGAGTCTCCCACAATTACCGTTGTTCCTGGCCCAGACTTCAATCCGGCCTCCCACGTTATTCCTGATACCACACCTGACCCCCATGACTGTATCTCTCTGATCCATCTGACATTCACCCCATTTCCCCAAATTTCCTTCTTTCCTCTTCCTCACCCTGATCACGCTTGATTTATTGTTGGCGGTTCCACCAGGCCTAATCACCACACACCAGCAAAGGCAGGTTATGCTATAGTACAAGCCACTAGCCTGCCTCTTAGAACCTCTCATTTCCTTTCCATCGTGGAAATCGATCCTCAAGGAAATAACTTCTCAGTGTTCCATCTGCTATTCTAGTACTCCTCAGGGATTATTCAGGCCCCCTTCCTTCCCTACACACCAAGCTCAAGGATTTGCCCCACCCAGGACTGGCAAATTAGCTTTACTCAACATGCCCTGAGTCAGATAACTAAAATACCTCTTAGTCTAGGTAGATACTTTCACTGGATAGGTAGAGGCCTTTCCTACAGGGTCTGAGAAGGCCACCGCAGTCATTTCTTCCCTTCTGTCAGACATAATTCCTCAGTTTAGCCTTCCCACCTCAATACAGTCTGATAACAGACAAGCATTTATTAGTCAAATCAGCCAAGCAGTTTTTCAGGCTCTTAGTATTCAGTGAAACCTTTATGTCCCTTATGGTCCTCTGTCTTCAAGAAAAGTAGAATGGACTAAAGGTCTTTTAAAAACACACTCAGCCACCAACTTAAAAAGGACTGGACAATACTTTTACCACTTTCCCTTCTCAGAATTCAGGCCTGTCCTCGGAATGCTGCAGGGTACAGCGCATTTGAGCTCCTGTATAGACACTCCTTTTTATTAGGCCCCAGTCTCATTCCAGACACCAGACCAACTTACACTGTGCCGCAAAAAACTTGTCATCCCTACTATCTTCTGTCTAGTCATACTCCTATTCACCATTCTCAACTACTCATACATGCCCTGCTCTTGTTTACACTGCCGGTTTACACTGTTTTTCCATGCCATCACAGCTGATATCTCCTGGTGCTATCCCCAAACTGCCACTCTTAACTCTTGAAGTAAATAAATAATCTTTGCTGGCAGGACTATGCTGAATCTCCTTAGGCACTCTCTAATCAGATATCCTGAGTCGTCCCAATTCTTAGACCTTTTATACCTGTTTTTCTCCTTCCTTTATTCCATTTAGTTTCTCAATTCATCCAAATCCATATCTAGGCCATCACCAATCATTCTATATGACAAATGTTTCTTCTAACATCCCCACAATATCACCCCTTACCACAAGGCCTCCCTTCAGCTTAATCTCTCCCACTCTAGGTTCCCACGTCACCCCTAATCCCGCTTGAAGCAGCCCTGAGAAACATCGCCCATTCTCTCTCCATACCACCACCCAAAAATTTTTGCCGCCCCAACACTTCAACACTATTTTGTTTTATTTTTCTTATTAATGTAAGAAGGCAGGAATGTCAGGCCTCTGAGCCCAAGCCAAGCCATGGCATCCCCTGTGATTTGCACATGTACGCCCAGATGGCCTGAAGTAACTGAAGAATCACAAAAGAAGTGAATATGCCCTGCCCCACCTTAACTGATGACATTCCACCACAAAAGAAGTGTAAATGGCCAGTCCTTGCCTTAAGTGATGACATTACCTTGTGAAAGTCCTTTTCCTGGCTCATCCTGGCTCAAAAAGCACCCCCACTGAGCACCTTGCGACCCCCACTGCTGCCTGCCAGAGAACAACCCCCCTTTGACTGTAATTTTCCTTTACCTACCCAAATCCTATAAAACGGCCCCACCCCTATCTCCCTTCACTGACTCTCTTTTCGGACTCAGTCCGCCTGCACCCGGGTGAAATAAACAGCCATGTTGCTCACACAAAGCCTGTTTGGTGGTCTGTTCACACGGACGTGCATGAAATTTACCACTTGTGCAAACCCACTTAGTAGAAGCCCTAGAAACACTCCTGCACTACTTTCATAATCCTCCCTCCCCCAACAGCTCCTGCTTTACATATACTTTAGAGTTTCTGAATTCAGGATACATGTCACTACTGGTAATAGTAGTTGTAATGGTAGACTCAAGGAAATACAGTAGCTCAACCTGCATAAAACTGGAGGACAGACTGTCTCCAAGGCTGGGAATAGCTAAATAGCTAAAAAGGTGATATAAACATAGTCCATAAAAAATAGCTCGCTTAGCAATGGAACCCAGAAAGAGAGGGTTAAGAGAAAACACGCAGGAGCAACATGTGTGTGCAAGTCAGAAATCACAGATCTGAGGGTTATAAGCTTTTTTGTCACCACAGAGAAGTGTGCTGTTGTTTTATCAACTTTGACCAGGTACGTTTTATCAACCTTGACCACTTGAATGAATTATGCATTTAGATGTGCCACTTCTTTTGGCTTTAACTGAATAGTCACCAGGCAATCTTCTCATTAAAGTGTTTCCTTCCCAGGTGCTTTGACATCAAGAGGAAGGGAATCTGAACTCGAGATGTGTGCATGACTTGCACTCAGTAGAAAGTACTAAGGTGGCATTTGGGCTCATATATCCATCCCAAGTAATATTAGTATACTAAAAGTTGGGGTACTGAATGAATGCTGGGTATAGATATAAGACCCAGTCTCTCTCCCTGCTAGGATAAAGCCCACATCCTAAGTATAAAAAAATTTAACAAAGTAGTGATACCCTGACAACTATCTTTATAGATAAAGACTTCCTTCCATACTGCTGCCTTCAACTCCTGCACCTAGACTACATTAGGATGTCTCTGCAGACACACACTACTAAAAAGAAAACACAGGACCTTTACCATTTAAACACGCAGAAAGGCTGTTACCTACTTTATGAAGATATGTCCAATTCAGCAAGTGTAGTGATCACAGATTTTTAGAACGTGGTTACTGTGGAAGCCCTAGTAAGTTACCTAGTGGTAACTTATTTGCATTTAAGTGGGACCACAAGGAGGCTGAGACCACATTCCTGAATTTTTATTTTCCTATTTCCAGCAATGAAAAAGGGGGAATTAAAAAAATACAAATGATTAATTAAAATTCTGCTGATTTTCCTGAATACAATATGACTAAATATTTTATATTAACTATAAATATTCACTTTTATATACCAATGGTGTATTTTAAAAAGCTGCTATTAATTTAACATTTATCACATGCTAGACAATTTAACATTTATCACAAGCTAGACAGTGTGTTAAGGATATCTCAATTAGGACAATGATTCTCTGAGGTATTTATTATGATCTCTATTTTACCAGAACAAAACAGAAACTTGAACAGGTTGAATAATTTTCCCAAGAGCACCCAGCAGGTAAACTTTGGAAATAAAATTTAAATCCAAGTGTGCTTTAGAAAGCCTATGCTCACAGTTTGATTTTCTACTAATCTTACAAACAGTTTTCCTTAGTCTAAGAAAGAAAAAAAAGAACAGGTTAGTAACAATGATCCTAGAAAAACTACGCAGACACAAACAGAGAAGTGAAGTCTTGAATTTTATTTAATCTCCATTACAGTGTACTCATTTCTATCATTAGAAATTGATTCCCAAAACACTGCTGCAATCCTACAACTCATGCTCAAAAACTTAAATTGCTCAACATTCTCCATGGCATAATATTCAGATCTCTTGCTGTGACATTTAAGACCATGACTGTTTAAATACCCCCTCTCCCTCTACACTCCAGCCATTTCAGGGCCTTAGTTGTATTGTGGATGCCTTTTCCCTTGTGGGCTTCACATCTGTTACTCTCTCATCCTGGAATGTTCTTTGACTACCATTTCTACTTATAAAATCCAGTTGTCTAATAAATTATCCCTTGATCATCCAAATATAAAGATCATCCTTAACATAGCACACTTTGGTTTCATAATTGCAGCTTCTATCATTCTACCTTTTGTTCTTAGAGATTATTTATATATCTTATACCCAAATTAGAACAGAGTCCATATATTTCTACCCTCCATCTCCATCTACAGCAACCACAATGCTTTATGCTTAGAACGCATAACCAAATATTTGTTAAATTGAATTAATTAGAATTTACATTAAAATACTGCTTGTTTTGCACTATTTTAAAAACACTAATATTCATGACAGTGTAATGCATTGTTTTGTAAAATCACTAAATTACTATTGCTAACAAATACTCTACAATTTATAAAGATCTTTCAAATATATATATTGTCTTAGATTATTGCAAGAAGCCCTGTTTATGGTTAGTAAAAACCTCATTATTATCTCCATTTTTCAGATGAGGGATCAGAACTAAAATTAATTATTTAGCTGTTTCTAACATCTGCAGAAGACTTATTATGGCAACCAAAATGCAAAGTACATATGTGAATTATATTATTCCCTGAAAGCTTGAGATGGAAAACAGAGGTGTTTCTTACAGGTGCTACATATGCTCATTTATGAACATCCTAAATTGGAAACTAATTATTTTCAAGCCTGTGTATTTGGAGGAGAAATTCACAGGCAACAGCGTTGGAATAAATCTTCCCAGTGGTCAATCATTTTATCTTATTCTATTTCACAACCTGGTTCTGTGTGGATCAATGACATTAGGGATAATGAGCAGCATTTTTTTTTTTAAAGTTTGAGAATAAATAATGGATCTGAGTTAGTGACATCACCTTATCTGGCTATGGCTAGAAACTTTCTCTGGCTATAAACACATGTAAAAATAGAAATTGATGCTGTTGTATTATAATGTAATAAAATACATTATATAATTTACCTAGCATTTACAGAATGATGTATCTTTCCCTCACAAGCAAAATTTCCATAGAATTCCTCTTCCTTTTTAATTGATTTGGTTGAAATGCATTTATACATTTATGCTCATTTTAATTTTTAAACTACATCTTATGGGTGCATTTAACTTTTTCAAATTGACCTGGAGTCATTATTATTCACATCAGTGATTGATTGTGCTGAGTCATAGCATGGTCGTGTCCTATGTGATAACTGAAGCACGCAGCCACTCTTACATGGTCACTTCCCATCGCTGACTTCTGAGTTCCTCTGTTTCTTCCCTTGCTGCCAAACTGTTAGCTCTAACTTCCTTCGACCTTCAATATCACTTAATTAGAAGCATCCTGATATGCCATATCCCAGATCAGTTCATTTGAAGAAAACCATCATGTGAATGCATTGAGTACTAGGAAATGGGCATATGCAGATGATGAAGATATGCCTTTTATGAGCTTACAGTCCAGAGGAGACGCATAAGTGGAGTCAGACAGTTTTAAAATAAAAGTGCTTTGCTGAAGGTATACAACAAGAAATCCTCAGTGGCATGGGGGTTCAGAGAATTACTCTCAGAAAAGTTAGCGGCTGATCTGAGCCTTGATGTGGATAGGAACTAGCCAGATGAAAGGTAGCTAGTGGGATAGAAGATAGGAAAGGTAAATTCTGTGAAGCCTGAAGTAGCATGGTATGCACACAGAACAACAAACTTCTCAGTATTACTAAAGCCCATTTAGGCAGCAAATGGTAGGACTTGAGACTTAAGAGTTACAAAGGTAGCTGTGGATTATATGCTGTCTTTGACTTTACCCATGGGCAAATGAAGCCTCTGATGGGATTTAAACAGGGATGCATCACAGAGTAAGGAAACTAGTTCAGACAGAAAGATTTGGAGCCAGAGACATGGTGGCTTCTCCAATATTTTTTGAATGATTGCATGGATTTCTTTAAAAAGTGGATGGGGTTCAGTAGATGATGAGATGATATATCAGGAAGGTCAGGTTTAAGCTGGCATACTTTTTTTGCAGGAGAGACACCTGAGGATATGTACTGTCCACATGTCCAGCACGCAGCCAGATACCCTGTTTCTAATCATCTATAGAATGGGAAACCACAACTAAGGGAACCATGCAGCTTCTAACTTTGCCCATTAAGATCACCAGAGAAGGTTTAAGAGTTCTGATACCTAGACCTTTCCCTGAATATGTTAAATTAGATAACCTAGAGCTGGGACCAGTATTAATTAAAGTTCTCCAAGTGATCCCAGTGTTCAGCCGTGGTCAAGTACCAGGCACTAAAGTACCAGACTCAGATGTGGGCCTAATAAAGAGTTTTCTTTCCAGTAAAGTATATCGACTTTGAGATTGTACTTCCCTTTGCCTGTTTATTTTGACACAGGCACCTCTTAAAGGGACATCTCTACTGGTGCTTCCTCTGAAAAGCCTTCTCTGAGAGGTTTTAGAAGCTATTCCATTCCTCTCTAATAGTACTTTCATGTTTACTGTGAGCTTGGTGGAGAGATTTGTCCTCTCTAATAGCACTTTCATGTTTACTGTGAGCTTGGTGGAGAGATTTGTGAATCCAAAAAAGAAGTCAAACAAGATGAAACAACTATAATGGAAAGAAATTCATTTGTGAACATTTAAATGTAAGTGGAAAAGAGAGACTGTGTGTTTATGTCAAAGAATGGAATGACTTTTCTATTTTGGAATAATGATGCACTAAGCTTTCTGATTTCACCGAGGAATAGCAAAGAGCAGAACATAATATGCAAGAATAGGAAAGTCCAGCCCGCTCTATTAGCAGCCCAGTAGAAAACTAGAAGCACCACCTTGGGTCACAGCACAACACTATTTTGTCAGGCTCCTTAAGTGACCTATTTTTAATGTCATTTACAATTTAGAAGAGTCATGGTTTCAAATCACCATCCTTGCAAATAGCAAGGGTCTTTTGTGAAATAGTATTTTTTTAAACCTGGAATTTCACTGTACAGAGAGCCCCAAGACAAGACTGATTAAGTCTGGAAGGTTTTTCAAATGTTTGGCCCATATTTCAACATTATTGTTCATTTCTAAGATGTTCTTACCAAGCACAGTAAAATTATATTACACTAATATTCCACAATCATGGACACTATGTGTGTTACATATAATGAAAGAAAACGGTGTCTGTACAGTTCAAAATATCAAAACCAATTCCAAGTAGGTTCTTAAAATTTGCTGAAGCAAACGCACCTTAGGGTAAAAATAAACTAGGTATTGGAACAGGTACACTTAGGATCTGTTTAACACCAGCATGAGGTTACAAGCAGCCCAAAGTAAACCTTAGGCACATGTTATACAGAACAATGAGATATAACCTTTTCCTTCCTTCCCAGAACTTATGCTTGAGGGGATACACTGAAGTGGAGATGATAATAAAAGAGTATTTTACAGAAATAGTATATCTCCAGAGGAGAATGAGCAAGAACAAAAGACTAACAGAAAAGTAATTGACTGGCTTAACTTTGCACATAGTACACAAGAGGGACACACACATAAATCTTGTTGGAAGTTAAAGGCACTCAGGCTTGCAGGGTTCTGTCCTCAAAATGCGTGCAGTGATCATAATAGAATGTGCAGATAGGAGCTGTACACATCTGAAAAGTAGAAAACTAAAAAGCATATAGGACTCTATAATAACACAAAAACTTAAACTATAGTCTGTTCGACCTGGGTGCCCTGTAGAGAATCTCCTATTGTGAGGGCAGGAATAGTAACCCTTGAAAAAAAAATACAAACTATGTGGCTACATTTTTCAGTAATAAAATATAGACGGGCTGGGCGCAGTGGCTCATGCCTGTAATCCCAGAACTTTGAGAGGCCAAGGTGGGTGGATCATTTGAGGTCAGGAGTTCGAGACCAGCCTGGCCAACATGGTGAAACCCCACGTCTACTGAAAATACAAAAATTAGCTGGGCGTGGTGGCAGGCACCTGCAGTCCCAGCTACTCTGGTGGCTGAGGCAGGAGAATCACTTGAATCCAGGAGGTGGAGGTTGAAATGAGCCAAGATTGCACCACTGCACTCCAGCCTGGGCAACAAAGCGAGACTCTGTCTCAAATAAATAATAATAATAATAATAATAAAGATAGAACAGCCTGGGCTTCAATAAAAGTTCCAATTTAGTTAATCCATTATTTATTTTTTGCTTTATATTAAACCATTTTAATTAACCAGACTAAGGGACACATTTTCCAAAGCAGCAAGTCACTGTCATAGACTGTCATTGCAAAGGCTGACTGAATTATTACCTCCTTATCCCATGCTCACCATTGTTTATGTGTGTCTACTTGGACAAAGTGAAGTGGAAAATAGATGTAATTCTCTGGATTGTTTAAGAAACTTGTTCACATCTTGGCTTGTATATTAGAAACAAAAAGTGTTGTGTATAAAAGTATATATCCCAGGCCTCATGGTGAGTGATTCTGAAGCAGCAACATCTGCTATCTACACATTCATTTACTGGAATACAAGCCTTTTGCAATATAAGATCCGTGCCAATTAATGGAAAAAGAAAACACACACACTCACCCTCATCCACCACCCTCCACCCATACACATATCACGACCCTCTGAACTGAGTTTTGCAAAACTCCTTCACTGGATTTTTGTGGTTGCTGTTGTCGCTATCCATCAGGCTTGCACCCAGGTTAGGTAACAAGTACACTTGAGTGATTATCTAGTGACCTAGAGGCACAGAGCCAGCCAATGGGAAAAACGCAGACCATATGAGTTGCTTTCTTTTTCAAGTGCAGTTCCCATGGATTGAGTTATAGGTTACATGTCTTCTCTTATACAACCTCTTCTGGGCAGACACAGTCACAAAACAATTTTTTAAATTGAGATATAATTCATATATCACGAAATTCGCCTCTTTTTATTGTTTTTTTGACGGAGTCTTACTCTGTCGCCCAGGCTGGAGTGCAGTGGCGAGCGATCTCGGCTCATTGCAAGCTCCACCTCCCGGGTTCACGCCATTCTCCTGCCTCAGCCTCTCCAGTAGCTGGGACTACAGATGCTCACCACCACGCCCAGCTAATTTTTGTATTTTTAGTAGAGGCAGGGTTTCCCCGTGTTAGCCAGGATGGTCTTGATCTCCTGAGTTGGTGATCCGCGTGCCTCGGCCTCCCAAAGTGTTGGGATTACAGGCGTGAGCCACCGTGCCTGGCCGAAATTCACCCTTTTAAATGCACAAGATTTTTAGTATCTTAACAGAGTTGTGTATCCATCACCACTCTCTAATTTAAGAATCTTTTCATCACCCCTAAAAGGAACTCCATACCAATTAGTAATCACTCCCCATTCTGCCTTTCCTCAGTTTTGGGCAACAAATAATGTATTTCCTGTCTCTAGGGAATTGCTCATTTTGGGACATCTCTTATAAATGGAATCATACAACACATGGTCTTTTGTGTTTGGTATCTTTCACTTGGCATAATGTTTCTCAAAGTTCATTCACACTGTAGCTCAAATCAGTACTTCTTTTTAAGTCAGGTAGACAGAAGCATATGCAAAGAAGTGTAATTTAGTTAATTACTTCCATGCCTCTCACTATTTTGTTTTGTTTAGTCCAACACATTTCTCAATTATCAAACATTATAATCTACTCCATATTCCTTTTTCTTTTAGAACATTATCCCTAACCCATTCCAGGTAATATATTTTAATAAATCCCCACGGTATTTTTTCATAGATAAAAATAAGTCTAAAATGTTTATAATAAAAAACACCCTCTTTTAGCTTTCTGTATATGGCTAGCCAGTTTTCACAACACCATTTATTAAATAGGGAATCCTGTCCCCATTGCTTGTTTTTGTCAGGTTTGTCACAGATCAGATGGTTGTAGATGTGTGGCATTATTTCTGAGGCCTCTGTTCTGTTCCATTGGTCTATATATCTGTTTTGGTACCAGTATCATGCTGTTTTGGCTACTGTAGCCTTGTAGTATAGTTTGAAGTCAGGTAGCATGATGCCTCCAGCTTTGTTCTTTTTGCTTAGGATTGACTTAGCTAAATTTAAAGTAGTTTTTTCCAAACTACTTTAAAGTTCATATGGAATCAAAAAAGAGCCCGCATTGCCAATACAATCCTAAGCTGGAGGCATCACTCTACCTGACTTCAAACTATACTACAAGTCTACAGTAACCAAAACAGCATGGTACTGGTACTAAAACAGAGATATAGACCAATGGAACAGAACAGAGACCTCAGAAATAACAGCACACATCTACAACCATCTGACCTTTGACAAACCTGACAAAGACAAGAAATGGGGAAAGGAACCTCTATTTAATAAATGGTGCTGGGAAAACTGGCTAGCCATATGGAGAAAGCTGAAACTGGATCCCTTCCTTATACCTTATACAAAAATTAATTCAAGATGGATTAAAGACTTAAATGTTAGACCTAAAGCCATAAAAACCCTAGAAGAAAACCAAGGCAATACCATTCAGGACATAGGCATGGGCAAGGACTTCATGACTAAAACACCAAAAACAATGAAAACAAAAGCCACAATTGACAAATGGGATCTAATTAAACTAAAGAGCTTCTGCACAGCAAAAGAAACTACCATCAGAATGAACAGGCAACCTACAGAATGGGAGAAAATTTTTGCAATCTACCCATCTGACAAAGGGCTAATATCCAGAATCTACAAAGAACTTAAACAAATTTACAAGAAAAAAACAACCCCATCAAAAAGTGGGCAAACGATATGAATGGACACTTCTCAAAAGAAGACATTTATGCAGCCAACAGACACATGAAAAAATGCTCATCATCACTGGTCATCAGAGAAATGGAAATCAAAACCACAATGAGATACCATCTCACACCAGTTAGAATGGCGATCATTAAAAAGTCCGGAAACAAGAGATGTTGGAGAGGATGTGGAGAAATAGGAATGCTTTTACACTGTTGGTGGGATTGTAAACTAGTTCAACCATTGTGGAAGACAGTGTGGCAATTCCTCAAGGATCTAGAACTAGAAATACCATTTGACCCAGCGATCTCATTACTAGGTATATAACCAAAGGATTATAAATCATGCTACTATAAAGACACATGCACACGTATGTTTATTGCAGCACTATTCACAATAGCAAAGACTTGGAACCAACCCAAATGTCCATCAATGATAGACTGGACTAAGAAAATGTGGTACATATACACCATGGAATACTATGCAGCCATAAAAAAGGATGAGTTCATGTCCTTTGTAGGGACATGGATGAAGCTGGAAACCATCATTCTCAGCAAACTATTGCAAGGACAGAAAACCAAACACTGCATGTTCTCACTCATAGGTGGCAATTGAACAATGAGAACACTTGGACACAGGGCAGGGAACATCAGACACTGGGGCCTGTCGTGGGGTGGGGGAATGGGGGAGGGATAGCATTAGGAGAAATACCTAATGTAAATGATGAGTTAATGAATGCAGCAAACCAACACGGCACATGTATACACATGTTAAAAACCTGCACGTTGTGCACATGTACCCTAGAACTTAAAGTATAATAATAAAAAAAAGAATAAAAAAAAAAGTTAAATAAATAAATAAATGAATAAATAAATAAGTAAAGTAGTTTTTTCCAATTCTGTGAAGAAAGTTAATGGTAGCTTGATGGCACTGAATCTGTAAATTACTTTGGACAGCACAGCCATTTCATGATATTGATTCTTCCTATCCAAGAGCATGGAATGTTTTTCCATTTGTTTGTATCCTCTCTTATTTCCTTGAGCAGTGGTTTGGATCCCTTCCTCACACCTTATACAAAAATCAACTCAAGATGGATTAAAGACTTAAACATAAGACCTAAAACCATAAAAACCCTAGAAGAAAACCTAGGCAATACCATTCAGGACACAGGCATGGGCAAAGACTTCATGACTAAACCACCAAAAGCAATGACAACAAAAGCTAAAATAGACAAATGGGATTTAATTAAGCTAAAGAGCTTCTGCACAGCAAAAGAAACTATCATTAGAGTAAATAGGCAACCTCCAGAATGCGAGAAAATTTTTGCAATCTATCCATCTAACAAAGGGCTAATATCCAGAATCTACAAAGAACTTAAACAAATTTATAAGGAAAAAACAACCCCATCAAAAAGTGAGCGAAGGATATGAACAGACACTTCTCAAAAGAAGACATTTATGCAGCCAACAGACACATGAAAAAATGCTCGCCATCACTGGCCATCAGAGAAATGCAAATCAAAACCACAATGAGATACCATCTCATACCAGTTAGAATAGTGATCATTAAAAAGTCAGGAAACAACAGGTGCTGGAGAGGATGTGGAGAAACAGGAACACTTTTACACTGTTGGTGGGACTGTAAACTAATTCAACCATTGTGGAAGAGAGTGTGGCGATTCCTCAAGGATCTAGAACTAGAAATACCATTTGACCCAGCAATCCCATTACTGGGTATACACCCAAAGGATTATAAATCATTCTACTATAAAGACAAATGCACATGTATGTTTGTTGTGGCACTGTTCACAATAGCAAAGACTTGGAACCAACCCAAATGCCCATCTATGATAGACTGGATAAAGAAAATGTGGCACATTTACACCATGGAATACTATGCAGCCATAAAAAAGGATGAGTTCATGTCCTTTGCAGGGACATGGATGAAGCTGGAAACCATCATTCTCAGCAAACTAACACAAGACAGAAAACCAAACACCACATGTTCTCACTCATAAGTGGGAGTTGAACAATGAGAACACTTGGACACAGGAAAGGAAACATCACACACCAGGACCTGTCGGGGTGTGGGGGGCTAGGGTCAGGATTGCATTAGGAGAAATACCCAATGTAGATGACGGGTTGATGGGTACAGCAAACCACCTTGGCACGTGTATACCTATGTAATAAACCTGCATGTTCTGCACATGTACCCCAGAACTTAAAGTATAATTAAAAAAACACCCTCACCTATTACGACCAAAAGTTCTGCATTTTTATAGTAATAATGAATGTTTTTCTGCTGTGGATTCTACATTTCCATATTCCTAAATAACATGATTTTGCTATTTCCTGATTTTTACTTTTATTTTCATTTCTGTACTTTGTATATGTCATGCTCCATACAAACCCAAATACCCCTCTTTCTCTTGTCCACTGCCAACATTTTGGATTATTATTCTTTTTCTAATTTTGTAGGAGAAAAATATTATTTTCAGATGAGCTATACCATACACTATTGTACAACTTAGAGTATGTTCAGATATTCTTTCATATTATTCTGCCTATTCCCATGTGTACTAGGAACCATAGCCAGAACACTTGAAATACTTAAAGAATAAAAAAGGTAACTATATAATAATATAAAACCATAATGTTGAGACTGGATTTGTCATATAACAATTGTTGAATGTTAAATTTTAACTTTAAGTAATATAAATTTCATCAGAAATTAGAGTACCAAATCTGCAACACTGTAAATGTAAATATTTGAAACATTTTTCATTGATCAATAATGAAGTAAAAAATTAAACTCCTATCGCAATACAGAGGCTCTGTGACTTACGATGGGGTTATGTCCCAAGAAACCCAACAAAAGTTGAAAATTGAGTAAGTCAAAATGTATTTAATACACCTAACCTACCAAGCATCATAACTTAGCCTAGTCTACTTTGAATGTTATCAGAACACTTATATTAGCTTGCAGTTGGACAAATTCATCGGGCAGCACAGTACACTGTAGAGTATCAGTCATTTACCCTAATGGCTGACTTGGAGCTGCACTGCTACTCAGAGTCTTGAGAGAGTATCTTATCACCTTCTACTGAATGCATATTGCTTTCACACCATTGTAAAGTTGAAAAATTATAAGTTGAACAATGAGGACTGTCTGCATAGCAAATTATATGACAAGTTACGTTTAGTGCAGTTTTAACTATAAATAAGGAAGATAATATAAGAAACAACATGGATATGGCAATAAGAAAAAGCAGTGTCACTTTCCCACTTTTTCCTAGTCTTGACTCTTATCCTGTCACAATCAAAATGAAATGTAAATAATAATTCATTAGGTTACATTGTAGAATCTGGCTATATACTTGAATAATTACCTGGAGAGTCTCTTTATTTTTTCATCGTCAACAACATCAACATCATCATCATCACAAAAAATTTCATGCAATTTGGGTAATTCAAATGATGCATATTATATGAAACATAAAGTTGAAATTAGGTATCCATGCATCCATCCACCTGCCTACTGTCTACCACACACACATAGAAATAAACACATATGTAATTTTTTCAAACACAAATGGAAATATACTTTATATACTGGTCTGAAGTTGCTCTTGTTCACTTAATAGTAATGTTGAACATCTTCCCATATCAGCAGCACATAGAGATCTACCTTATTTCTTACTGTCTTTAATGATTACATATTTACTATCCTATTCATTCAAAAGATATTTTCTGAGAATCCAGCATGTGCCTGGCACTAAACCAGATACCTTTGAATGGCCCAAGACTCTACCTCACACCCCATGTGGCCTCCCTCCTGCTTAAAATCCATCCATAACTCCACCAACCAGAGAATAAAATCCAAAAGCAACATATCATACATGGCTGCCTTTATAATTCTCAAGCCTCAAGTGCCACACTTCCTTACCTTAAACCTCTGCTCTAGTAACACTGAATGACTTGTTCCTCCCTGCACAGTCTGGCAGTTGAGAATTTGTAGATCATTCTGATGAACAGCTTAGTTTTTGGGACATCAGCCTATAAAACATGTTCTGAGTGTTGCTTGTAAGTTTGTTACAGGTAGTTAGACAGGCATGAGTGGGGCAGGAGAGGTCTCACCCCCACCCACTAGGAATGTCAGGTGACAGTTTGGCAACTATCACATTGCCTCTCTAAAAGTGATAAATTGGCAGCAGGCACCAGGGAGAGGCCATTTCCTGGTGGTCCACACCTGTTGCATTAAAATGCTAATTGAATGCAGGAACAAGGGAGAAGCAAAAAGGAACTTCCAATAAAATCTCAGGTACTGGGTGAGTGAGCCGGGGCACGTGCAGTAAGAGACAAAGTGGCTGACTATGACCTTCCAGGGGCACTCCACCAGAAAGGGGAAGAAAGCCCCAGATGGGCATTGTACAACTTCCTAAACACATTGCATGTGCTCACCTCCCAAGCATTAAGAGGGCATTGCACAGGTGGGCAGCCCACCCTAAGGGAAGAATCATGGGAAAGGGGCCAGCCCATAAAGTCCTAGGATCAAGGTTAAACACCACTCTTGACCTTCATGTGCCCACTTGGGTTTCTTCCAAGTGTACTTTCCTTTCTTTCCTGTTCTAAAGCCTTTTAAATAAACTTCCACTCCTTCTCTGAAACTTGCCTTCGTTTCTTTTTCTGCCTTATGCCCCTCCATCGAATTCTTTCTTCTGAGGAGGCAAGAATTGAGGTTACTATAGACTCTTATGGAGTTGCTGGCAGTAACTTGGATACCTTCCACTGGTAAAATGTTTACTTATCATTCAGTCAACAAATACTTTTGACATGCTCTGTGGAGGGCTAGAGATCCACAGATGAAAAAGACTCAGTTCCTGTGTTGAAGGGAGATTTAATCTACTGGAGAGACAGTTAAGAAACACCAAGAAATAAGAACAATATAAAATAGTTTTGGAGATTTACTATAAGCCAAGCAGTCTGATTTTTATATGTATGGTCTCATTTACCCTCATATGACTCTAATGAGTAAATTTTATTATCTTAATTTTACAGAAGATTAAAAAAACTCAGAAACTGAAGCAAAGAAAGGTCAAGCAACCCACTAATAAAATAAAATATATTAAAATATATTTCAGTGAGTAAATACAATATATTAAGATTATTATTTTCTTTAATTTCCAACTTTCCTATCTTCATTGTTTGCCTTTGTCCTCAGAGACTCTGAACTCCAGATCCTCTGAAATACAAGTAACAAGAATTTAAAGCTCAACCCCTGCCTAAGGCTATTCAGCTCAGAGGATTTTATCTTACTTGGGGGCCTAGAGAACTCTCCAAACTCAAAAACTGTCAGTCCCCAGACAAAAAGACCTCCAATCCCAGCAAGCAACTTTAAGCAATCTGAGGAAGTTAAACCCATTTTGGTAATTTTATGGCTAAGAGTATAAGCTAAAACAGCTCTTCCTATTCTTTCTCCCAAATAAAATACTTCCATGGGAGCTGAATTTGCCTTCTTTATAAATGACTGAGCATATCAATATCTCATGGACACAGAGTATAAAATATCCTCATTAACACAATCTTAAATTCTCCTCAACTTGGCTAGATTTTAGACAGGTTTCTTCCTCACTACAGGCCCTGGAGTGCCCTCTTCTTGGAAAAGTTACTTTCAAAAACTTGGAACTATAAATCTTTCTCTACCCCTTTGAGATGTAAATCTTCCTCCAGCCTGTAACCAGTTTTACAACCCAGGAATTTCTTTCTCAAAAACCTGTGAGTCTTCCCTTTGAAACATAATCATCAAGAAGGATAATGACACCATCTCCTAGTCTCTGTAAGAGGGTAGGATCCTGCTATAGTTTGGATGTTTGTCCCTCACAAACCTCGTGGTGAAATTTGATCCCCAATGTTGAAAATTCAGCATAATGGGAGGTGTTTGGGTCATGGGGGCAAATCCCTCATGAATAGATTAATGCCTTCCCTCCGTGGGGTGACTGAGTTCCCACTCCATTAGTTCTTAGGAAAGCTGGTTGTTATATAGAGCCTGGTACCTCCCCCTACGCCTTTGCACAAGCAGCTCCTCTTAACTTTTTCACCATGAGAAGCAGGATGAGGCCCTCACCAGATGTCAATATCCAATCTTGCATTCTCCAGCTGTCCAGAATCATAAGAAAAATGAACCCTTTTCTTCATAAATTATCCAAGCGCAAGTGTTCCTTTTTAGCAACACGAAGCAGACAAAGACAGATCCTAACTTTCATAAGCACCAATTAGCAAACACAGTTGGCCTAATCACATTGACCAAATTCCCCTCTAATGTCTTCCAGTACTTTTTCACTAGCTCACTCCAGGGCTTAAAAACCCTACCACCTTTTGTTTCAATGGAGTTGAATTCAATGTATCTTCCCTATTGTAGAGGTCTTGAATTAAAGTCCTCTTGACCTGTTTTACTCTGCTCGGTACAATTATTCTTTGATATCAGTAAACACAAGATCATAAATAGAGATATTAGCCACCTCATTCCCAGAAGGATATGAAAGAAACTAGGTTACATTTTATAAAATGAAAAGATCCTGTGTTGTTTTGGGGTTTGTTGTTTGTTCATTTGTTTGACTGTTTTGGTTACAGAGCTAATCTGGTACAAGAATCATATGATTCCTCAAAAGAGGCAGTATAATGTATTTCCTTTTAAAATATAATCTACAACATCTATGTGGATGTTGTAGAACAGGAAACTAATTTGTATCTTGGTGTATAAAAATGGACATAAAAAACCTATTCAACAAACTAAATCCATCTTACAAATAAATAGTCATGGTGTCCATGAACATGCTTATCTTTTAAATATTAAGAGTACACAGTTTTATTTTATAAAATGCTTTCAAAATGCAAAATGAATAAAGACAGTTTCTTGCCCATTCATTAAATCATTCCTATCAAGGTGAAGAGACAAAATTTGGCTCAACACCACATTTTATGAGCTGTTAATAGGTTTCTGGAACTCATGATTTAGTCATTTTACCCTGCAAAATACTAAATCTTTTAGAAAGCATGCTGTAAGTCACCCCTGAGTTGATCTCTACTGAACTTGAAATGACAACTGTGGATGGCCAAAAAATACTGCGTAATTAGGCAAATCGATGCTTACACTGGAATATTAATGTGAGTGTCTCCAGCCCAGAAAATAGGAGAAAAGTGCAATTGTAGTTTATAGGGTTGTTCAAAGATAGTTTCCTCAGCTTCTTAATGCTAATATTACAATATATGAATAAGATCTTTATAAAACTGAGAAGTTCTGATTTCATGCAATTATGGAAAAAGATAAATTACAACAGGGGTCTTGTAAAGTTTCCTGAAATTGTGCCACTTTCCATTGTCTAGAATCCCGGGAAACATCTTAGGTATTGTGGCATCACACTCCACATGGTTATCTCCACTCCTCTGCAGCCCAGACCTCCAGACTCATATTCAATGGCCTAATTAACTGCACCATTTGGATAATTACTAGGCATTTTGCAAGTATCATATCTAAACTTTTTATCTATATCCCATCAAATTCTACTTCTGCTCCTATCTTCCCCTCCTCAGTAATGGTACCTACCATCTACCTCAAAACCTTGGAATCACCAAGGTACCTACCATCTACCTTGGAATCACCAGTGGTACCTACTATCTACCCAAAACCTTGGAATCGCCCCAGAATCTTCTTTCCCTGGCATCTCACTAGCAAGACTT
Organism: Homo sapiens; assembly: GCF_000001405.40. Taxonomy (NCBI): domain Eukaryota; kingdom Metazoa; phylum Chordata; class Mammalia; order Primates; family Hominidae; genus Homo; species Homo sapiens. The sequence goes on along the minus strand of NC_000010.11, from coordinate 52,017,425 downwards.
GTCAGTACCACTTTAAAACTATGTCTCTAATCCAACCACTCCTCATCATAATGCACCTGTTCAAGCCATGACACTGTCTGGTTTGACTTCTGCATTAATTTTGATTTCTCCATGCTCCCTTTTCAGCAGTCTTAAATACAGTAAAATCTCCATAATGCAATGAGAAGATTTACAACTCAAACCAGAGAACTGCATTTCCCTGCTCAAATTTTTCCATGTTTCCTCCATGACACAGAACAAAAGCCAAAGCACTTAGCATGCTACCTTCAAAATTTGTATCTCTCTTTTGTTTTTCTTTTTCTTAAAATACATTTTAATCTCTTAATACTCAAGCCTTCACTCCCTCTTTTTCAGTCACTATAACCTTCTTTTTGTTCCTCAGACAAACCACACTTCTTACTTAGGGAATTTACATGTCTTTTTGTCTACTATGCTCTCTCTCCAAATTTGTCACCTGGCTACCTCTGGGAATTAATTCAAGTGTCTGCTCAAAAAATAACCCTTTAGGAAGGACTGACCGCCCTAGTTAATATACCCTCCTCCCTTTCCTTCTTCTCTTCATCTCTTTGTTCTGTATTTTACCTTGTTCTGTTATTGCTGTGTTTTTAAAAAATTTTTATTATATAGCATTTATAAATATGCTTATTTTCTATCTCTTTCCACCAGAATGTAAATACTATAAAATCAAGGACTCTCTTTTTTTCACTGTTGCATCCTCAGAGCCTAGCAAGGTGTCTGGCACATAATAAAGGATTTAGAAAATATTTGTAAGTGACTACATTATTTCCACATTTCATAAATCCTAAAAGAGACATTACCTTTCTTTATAAAGCAGCTGTTTCCCCAATAACCACATTATGCCTGTCGTTCTTTCACTTTTCTAAATTAAAGACTTTAGAATGATGGAATTATTGATATAGTTTGGCTCTGTGTCCCCACTTGAATCTCATCTCAAATTGTAATCCCCACATGTCATGGGAGTGATCTGGTGGGAGGTGACTGGATCATGGGGGCAGTTTCCCTAATGCTGTTCTCAAGATAATGAGTGAGTTCTAACAAGATCCGATGGTTTAAAACTGTTTGGCAGATTCCCCATTGTCCTCTCTCTCCTGCTGCCATATAAAAAACGTCTTGATTCCTCTTTGCCTTCTGCCATAATTGTAAGTTTCCTGAGGTTTCCCCAGTCATGTGGAACTGTGAGTCAATTAAACTCTTTTGTTTATAAATTACCCACTCTTAGGTAGTATCCTTATAGCAATGTGAGAATGGAATAATACAGAAAATTGGTACTGACAGAGTAGGGTACTGCTATAAAGATGCCTAAAAATGTGAAAGTGACTTTGGAACTAAGTAATCCGCAGAGGCTGGAACAGTTTGGAAGGCTCAGAAGACAAGAAGATGAAGGACAGTTTGGAATTTTCTAGACATTTGTTTAATGGTTTTGACCAAAATGCTGATAGTGATATGAACAATGAAGTCCAGGCTGAGGTGGTCTCAGATGGAGATGAGAAACTTATTGGGAACTGAAGCATAACCCTTGCTATGCTTTAGCAAAGACACTGGCAGCATTTCGCCCCTGCCCTAAAGATCCGTTGAACTTTGAACTTGAGAGAGATAATTTAGCGTATCTGGCAGAAGAGATTCCTAAGCAGCAAAGCATTCAGTATATAACCTGGATGATTCTGAAAGCTTTTAGTCATATGCATTTACAAAGAGATAATTTGAAATTGGAACTTATGTTTAAAAGGAAAGCAAAGCATAAAGGTTTGAAAAATTTGCATCCTGACCATGTAATAGAAAAGAAAAACCTATTTTCTGCGGAGAAATTCAAGCCAGCTGCAGAAATTTACATAAGTAATGAGGAGCCAAATGTTAATAGCCAAGACAATGGAAAAAAATGTCTCCAGGGCATGTCAGAGATCTTTGCAGCAGCCCCTGCCATCACAGGTCTGGAGATCTAGATGGGAAAAATGGTTTTGTGGGCCTGGCCCAAGACCCTGCTTCTCTGTGCAGCCTTGGGACATGGTGCGCTGTGTCCCAGCTGCTCCAAATCTAGCCATGGCTAAAAGGGGCCAATTTACAGCTCAGGCTATTGCTTTAGAGGGTTCAAGCCCCAAACCGTGGCAGCTTCCACATGGTGTTGTGTCTATGGGTAGGCAGGAGACAAAAGTTTAGCTTTGGGAGCCTCAGCCTATATTTCAGAGGATGTATGGAAATGCCTGGATGTCCAGGCAGAAGTCTGCTGCAGGGACAGAGCCCTCGTGGAGAACCTATACTAGGGCAATGCAGAAGGGAAATGTAGGACTGGAGCCCCCACACAGAGTCCCCATTGGGGCACTGCCTAGAAGAGCTGTGAGAAGGTTACCATCCTCCAGACCCCAAAATGGTAGATTTACTAACAGCTTGCACTATGCACTTGGAAAAGCCACAGGCACTCTATGCCAGCCCATTAAATCAGCTGTGGGGGCTGTACCCTGAAGAGCCACAGAGGCAGAGCTGCCTCAGGCCTTGGGAACCTATGCCTTGCATCAGTGTGCCCTGAATGTGAGACATGGAGTCAAAGGAGATTATTTTGGAGCTTTAAGATTTAATGAATGCCCTGCCAGCTTTCAGACTTACATGGGGCCTGTGGCCCCTTTGTTTTGGCCAATTTCTCCCATTTGGAACAGAAACATTTATCCAATGCCTGTACCCCCATTATATCTTGGGAGTAACTAGCTTGTTTTTTATTTTACAGGCTCTTAGTTAGAAGGGACTTGCCTTATCTCAGATGATACTTCAAACTTGGACATTTGAGTTAACGCTGGAAAGAGTTAAGACTTTGGGGTACTGTTGGAAAGGCATGATTAATTTTGAAATGTGTAAAGGAAATGAGATTTGTGAGGGACCAGGGGCAGAATGATATGGTTTGGCTCTGTGTCCCCACCCAAATATCACCTTGAATTGTAATTCCCAAGTGTTGAGGACAAGACCTGATGGGGGTGATTGGATCATGGAGGCTGTTTCCGCCATGGTGTTATCATGATAGGGATAGTGCATGAGTTCTCATGGGATCTGATGGTTTCAAAGTGTTTGGCTCTTCCCCCATGCCTTCTCTCTCTCTCCTGCCACCATATAATATGTACCTTGCTTCCCCTTCACTTTCTGCCATGATTGTAAGTTTCTTGAGGCCTCCCTAGCCATATGAAACCATGAGTCGATTAAACCTCTTTTATTTATAAATTACCCAGTCTCAGGTAGTTTCTTTATAGCAATGTGCAAGTAGACTAACACAATAATCTTTGAAATACCTCTTCTTCTTGAAACTAGTCCCCTCATACTTCAATCCTGTCCTTTCCTTTTTCTTTCCCACTCCTGACACCAAGTTTAGTAATGCATTATTTCAGAGTATTCTATCTGGATTCCTCTCTTCCTTAGAAAATTGGGAGTAACTAAGGAAAAAGCAGGAAATGTGGCAGTCAGCTAAATATAAGGGCAGTGAGTCCAGGAAAAGGAATGAGCACCCAAGATAGAGTGCACAAAATCAAGGAGAGAAAGCCTTGCATGATACCCACAGAGGTGAGTAAAGAGGAAAGAGAAAAGTGAGTGATATCAAGAACAGACTTGAGAAAATAGCATCCTTCATACTGCTGCCATAGCTATCTTACTAACATACAGGTTGATCAGCCACTGCTATTTCTAAAATTCATCAAGGGGTCCCCACTTCAAACACACATTAAAGTCAAAATTTCTTTGAATCAAGGCCTGCAATTACATTTCCCACTGCCTCTCTACACATGTCCTGTGCTCAAAGCAAATCAGACTCCCCAGTTTTCTCGAACATAAGCTCATGCTACTACCTTTGCTTATGCTGTACCTATAGTTTAGGACTGTCCCCTAATACTCAACTAGAAGAGTTCCACCCATTCAAGAGACAGCAAAAATACTACCTCCTCCTCCTCACTTTATTTTCCCAGTCACAGTGCATTCCCAACAACCTCCCAACCATCTTTCTTTTTTTTTTTTTTGAGACGGAGTCTCGCTCTGTCACCCAGGCTGGAGTGCAGTGGCACAATCTCAGCTCACTGCAAGCTCCGCCTCCCAGGTTCACACCATTCTCCTGCCGCAGCCTCCCGAGTAGCTGGTACTACAGGTGTCCACCACCACGCCTGGCAAATTTTTTTGTATTTTTAGTAGAGACGGGGTTTCACCGTGTTAGCCAGGATGGACACGATCTCCTGACCTCGTGATCTTCCTGCCTTGGCTTCCCAAAGTGCTGGGATTACAGGCGTGAGCCACCGCACCCGGCCCTCCCAACCATCTTTCTTGAAGCACTGGTTAACCTTTATCACACCCTGCTTTACATTAGAATTATACGTATGCAGCCTGAGTTTACTATTTTATTAGACTACAACATTCCTAAGGGCAAGGACCATACTCACTCAAATAGCTCTAATACTGAATGTGACATTGGAGAATTTATTTTTTCTGAACTCCAGTTTCTTTGCTTTATAAATGGAAGTAATAATACTAGTATAATAATTACCACATGGTATTGACATAGTATGCGGTGAATATAATCACATCTCACACATGGTATTCTGTGAAAATGAGTTCATTTGTCTAAGACATTTAGAACAGTACTTGATCCATAATATATATCCCATAGGAATTAACTATCAATAATAATATTATTATTACTAATTATACCTCCTCATCTCTCTATCTAGGATTTAGCTGGTGCTCAATATTGCATTTTAAAAAGGCAAATAAGCCAGATGCCTGTAATCCCAGTACTTTGGGAGGCAGAGGTGGGTAAATCACTTGAGGTCAGGAGTTTGAGACCAGCCTGGCCAACATGGTGAAACCCTGTATTTACTAAAAATAAAAAAATTAGCTGGGCGCGGCTGGGCGCGGTGGCTCACGCCTGTAATCCCAGCACTTTGGGAGGCTGAGGCGGGTAGATCACGAGGTCAGGAGATCGAGACCATTCTGGCTAACACGGTGAAACCCTGTCTCTACTAAAAATACAAAAAAATTAGCCAGGAGTGGTGGTGGGCACCTGTAGTCCCAGCTACTCAGGAGGCTGAGGCAGGAGAATGGCTTGAACCCGGGAGGTGGAGGTTGCAGTGAGCTGAGATTGTGCCACTTTACTCCAGCCTGGGCACTACAGTCAGACCCTGTCTCAAAAAAAAAAAAAAGGCAAATAAATCCTTCAAAAAGAACATGGAAAAAAACAAAACTGTGCAATAGTCCAAGTGAAACAGAAAATGTGCAAAGGGAGAGTAAAAATAGAATATCACTAAACTAGACAACTATGTGGAATTTCATAAAATGGGGAGCACAGTGAAGAGTGAAAGAGAGGTGTATTAGTCAATTTTCATGCTGCTGATAAAGACATACCCAAGACTGAGCAATTTACAAAAGAAAAGAGGTTTATTGGACTTACAGTTCCACATGGCCGGGAGGAAGGTAAAAGGCAAGGAGGAGCAAGTCAAGTCTTACATGGATGGCAGCAGGCAAAGAGAGAGGGCTTGTGCAGAGAATCTCCCATTTTTACAACCATCAGATATCATGAGATCCATTCACTATCACGAGAACAGCATAAGACCTGCCCCCATGATTCAATCATCTCCCACTGAGTCCCTCCCACAACACAAGAGAATTACGGGAGTGACAAAATGCAATTTGGGTGGGGACACAGAGCCAAACCATATCAAGAGGTGACTAGAAATGGAGGCAATGTTAAAAATCTGCTCTGTCAACCAGTTTGGCATTGATGGGAAGAAGTAAGATTGGGAATTACAAGTGGTAACAAATCAGATGAGGAGTACACATTTGTTCTATTTTAAGAAACTGTTTCCAGGAGAAGCAAAGGAGCACTTGAAAAGGATGAACTTGGTGATGCAAGCAGGGTATATGTTGGGGGAAATAAATGTGGTCTTGAGGCTCTAGATAGGACCAAAAAAAGGAGGCGGAGGGGAGAAAGGAAGTTATTTTGCCATTGGAAAAAGGAGAAACCTTTTGTAGAATTATGCATGTCTGCTTTTTCAGTCATCCTTCTGACCACTGACACATATTTTTGGGAAGTTAAATAGTTGAAGAAGGCCATAACAGCACATGTAGGCTTTTGGCAAAACAACAGGTTTATTAATACCAGCTGATCTATGCAGCCTAGAACTATGTAGCATAAAAAAATGAATTCTAAAAATAAAGCCTGGATGTTCCTCTGAAGGCAGAAACTTAAAGGGAAAAAAGTTCTGTGTGAAATTTTCCTTCAGGCTGTTTGGCCTACCTAACCAGGTCTATCTACCAACAATTAATAAACATAAGCTAATCACACCACATTCTGCTCTGGGTACTTGGCATTCTGAAATTAAATGGCTGCTTCTTACTTGCTATGATAGAGCTAAGAGAACTGTCCAACACTGACAGAACAGATTTTCATGCTTGAATCAAGTAAAGGAGATATGGAACATTTGGGTTACTAAATACCTCCAGAAGGGATGAACAAAATGACAAAGTCTCTAGAAGTCAGAGAAGCTTGCTTCAGCACCACAATCACAAGGTTTGGCTTTTTCTTTCTGGAGTACTCATTATTGCTGTGCTCTTATGAGTATTCTGAAGTTTGTCCCTAAAATCAGGCTAACAACATTGGTTGCAAGTCTTAACAGATAATGGGAGGCCATCTTCATCATAAAGAATAGGAATTCGCAACATTTTCTTTTTAACCAATGTCACAAGTGGGGAGTGGGAAGGCCGTCGGTTTATCTGGATTATTTGAGGTCTTCCATCTGCTTCTGCAGGTTCTTTTTTTAAATAATTTTAACTTTTATTTTACATTCAGGGTGTTCATGTGCAGGTTTGTTACATGGGTGTATTACATGACACTGAAGTTTGAAATATGAAAGATCCTATCACCCAGATGATGAGTATAGTACTCAGCAGTTAGTTTTTCAACACCCCTGGTTTAAGTAATGATTAGTGATCTTGAGCATTTTTTATATGCGTATTGGCTGCATGCATGTTTTCTTTTGAAAAGTGTCTGTTTATATCCTTTGTTTTCTTTTGAGAAGTGTCTGTTTATGTCCTTTGCCCACTTTTTAATGTGATTGTTTGTTGTTTTTGCTTATAAAGTTCCTTACAGATTCTGGAAATTAGACATTTGTCAGATGCATAGTTTGCAAGTATTTTCTCCTACTCTGTAAGCTGTGTGTTTACTCTGTTGATAGTCTATTTTGCTGTGGAGAAGCTGTTTAGTTTAATTAGATACCAGTTGCCAATTTTTGATTTTTTTGCAATTGCTTTTTGTGTCTTTGTCATGAAATCTTTGCCCATTCTTTTGTCCAGAATGCTACTTCCTAGGTTATCTTCCATGAGTTTTATAGTTTTAGGTTTTACATTTAACTTTTTAATCAATCTTGAGTTGATTTTTGATATAAGATGGAAGCTAGAGGTCCAGTTTCAATCTTCCATATATGGCTAGCCAGTTATCCCAGCACCATTTATTGAATAGGGAGTCCTTTCCCCATTGCTTGTTTTCATCATCTCAGTCAAACATCAGATGGTTGTAGGTGTGCAACATTACTTCTGTGCTGTCTACTCTGTTCCACTGTTCTATTTATTTGTTTATGAACCAGTACTATGCTGTTTTGGTTACTGTTGCCTGTACTACAGTTTGAAGTTGAGTATGTTATGCCTCCAGATTTGTTCTTTTTCCTTATGATTGCCTTGCCTATGTGGCCTCTTTTTTTGGTTCCATATGAATTTTAAAATAGTTTTTCTAATTCTGTGAAGAATGTCATTGGTAGTTTGATAGAAATAGCATTGAATCTGTACACTTCCTTTGGGCAGTATGGCCATTTTAATGATGTTATTCTTCCTATCCCTAGGCATGAAATGTTTTTCCATTTGTTTATGCCATTTCTGATTTGTTTGAGCAGTGTTTTGTAATTACCATTGTAGAGATCTTTCACCTTCCTGGTTAGCTGTATTCTTAGGTATTTTATTCTTTATGTAGCAGTCATGAATGGAATTTCACTCCTAATTTGGCTCTTGACTTGGATGCTGTTGGTGCATAGGAATGACACTAATTTTTTGTACACTGATTTTGTATAATGAAAGTTTACTGAAGTTGTTCCTCAGATCAAGGACCTTTGGGGCAGAAACAATGGGGTTTTCTAGATATAGAATCACATCATCTGTAAATAGGAAGAATTTGACTTCCTCTCTTTCTATTTGGATGTCTCTTATTTCTTTCTCTTGCCTGATTGCTCTGGCCAGGACTTCCAATACTATATTGAATAGGAGTGGTGAGAGAGGGCACACTTGAGCTGTTTTTCAAGGGAATCCTTTCAGCTTTTGCCCATTCAGTATAATGTTGGCTGTGAGATTGTCATAGATGGCTTTTATTTTTTTGAAGTATATTTCTTCAATGCCTAGTTTATCGAGGGTTTTTACTATGAGGGGATGATGAATTTTATTGAAAGCCTTTTCTACATTTATTGAGATAAATATGTGTTTTTTTAGTTCTGTTTATGTGATGAGTCACATTTATTGATTTGCATATGTTGAACCAAACATGCATCCCAAGGATAAAGCCTACTTGATCATGGTGAATTAGCTTTTTAATGTGCTGCTAGATTCATTTTGCTAGTATTTTGCTGAGGATTTTTATATCTATTACATTCCTGTTGAAACTGTTCCAAAAAACTGGGGAGGAAACTTGACAATTTTTTAAAAACCAGCTCTTCTTTATACATCTTGTAGAATTTGGCTGTGAATCCAACTGGACTTTTCTTGGTTGGTAGGGTTTTTATTATTGATTCAACTTTGGAACTTGTTATTAGTCTGTTCAGGGATTTAATTTCTTCTGGTTGAGTTTTGGGAGATTGTATGTGTCCAGGAATTTATGCATCTCTTCTAGATTTTCTAGCTTGTGTGAACACAGGTGTTCATAGTAGTCTCTGATGGTTCTTCTGTATTTCTGTGAGGTCAGTGGTAATGTCCCCTTTGCCATTTCTAATGGTGCTTATTTGAATCTTCTCTCTTCTTCTCTTTATTAGTCTAACTAGTCGTCTATCTTATTAATTTTTTCAAAAAACCAACACCTACATCTGTTGATGTATTATGTGGTTTTACACGTTTCAATTTCCTTCAGTTCAGCTCTGATTTTGATTATTTCTTGTCTTCTGCTAGCTTTGAGGTTGGTTTGCTCTTGCTTCTCCAGTTCTTCTGCTAGTAATGTTAGGTTGTTAATTTGAGATCTTTCTAACTTTTTGATATGGGTGTTTAGTACTAGAAACTTCTCTCTTAATACTGATTTAGCTGTGTCCCAGAGATTCTGGTATGTTGTATCTTTGTTCTTATTAGTTTCAAAGATTTTCTTGATTTCTGCCTTAATTACATTATTTTCCAAAAGTCATACAGGAGCAGATTGTTTAATTTCCATGTAATTGTGTTATTTTGAGGGATTTTCTTGGTATTGATTTCAATTTTTACTGCACTGTAGCCCAAGACTGTGTTTGGTGTGATTTTTGTTTTTCCACATTTGCTGAGTACTATTTTATGTCTGATTTTAGAGTGTGTACCATTTTAGAATATGTACCATGTGATGAAAAGAATGTATATTCTGTTGCTTTTAGGTGGAGAGTTCTGTAGATGTCTATTAGGTCCATTTGGGCAAGTATTGAGTTCAAGTCCTGAATATTTTTGTTAATTTTCTGCCTCCATGATATGTTTAATACTGTCAGTGGAGTGTTGAAGACTTCCACTATTGTTGTGCAGGAATTCACATCTCTTCATAAGTCTCTAAGAATGTGCTTTGTGAATCTGGGTGTTCCTATATTGGGTGCACATATATTTAGATAGTTAGGTCTTCTTGTTGAATTCAGCCCTTTACCATTATATAATGCTGTTCACTGTCTTTTTGGTCTTTGTTGGTTTAAAGTCTATTTTGTGTGAAATTACAGTTACAATCTCTGCTTTATTCTGTGTTTTCTTTGCTTTGTATATTTTTCTTCATCCTGTTATTTGGAGCCTAAGAATGTTATTGTATATGAGGTGGGTCTCTTGAAGACAGCATAACATTTGGTCTCATTTCTTTATCCACCTTGCCACTCTGTGCCTTTTAAATGGGGGCATTTAGCCTGTTTACACTGAAGGTTAGTTTTGATACATGTGGATTTGATCCTGTCATTGTGATGGTAGTTGTTGATGTTAAATACAGACTCTTTTTTGTGGTTGCTTTATAGTTTACTTGTCTGTGTACTTAAGTGTGTTTTTGTACTTGCTGGTAACGGTCTTTCCTTTCCATAGAGCTTCCTTCAGCAGCTCCTGTAAGGCAGGTCTAGTCGTAACAAATTATTTCACCATTTGCTTCTCTGAAAAAGGATCTTATTTCTCCTTCACTTATGAAGTTTAGTTTGGTTGGACATGGAATTCCCGGTTGGAATTTTTTTTTCTTTAAGAAAGCTGAATACATGTCCCCAATGTCTTCTGGCTTGTGGGTTTCTGCTTAAAAGTGCACTGTTAGCCAGATGGGGTTCCCTTTGTAGGTGATCCACCCCTTCTCTCCAGCTGCCTTTAACATTTTTTCTTGCATTTTGACCTTAGAGAATGTAATCATTATGTCACTTAGGAATGATCTCCTTATGTAATATCTCACAGGGTTTCTTTGCATTTCCTAGATTTGAATGTTGGCCTCTCTAGCAAGGTTGGGAAAGTTTTCATGGATGATACCTGAAATATGTTTTCTAAGTTGCTTGTTTTTTCCCTCTTTCAGGGACATCAGTGAATCATAGATTTGGTCTTTATATGTAATCCCATATTTCTTGGAGGATTTGTTCATTATTTTTCATTCTTTTTTCTTCATTTTGGTCTGACTGAGTAATTTCAGAGGGCCAGTCTTTGAGCTCTGAAATTTTTTCCTCAGCCTGGTCTATTCTGCTGTTAATAACATTTGCATTATGCAATTCTTGTGTATTTTTCAGCTCTATCAGATTAGTTTGGTTCTTTCTTATAATGGCTATTTTGTATATCAGCTCCTGTATCATTTTATTATGATTCTTAGATTCTGTGGATTGAGTTTCTACATTCTCCTGAATCTTGATGATCTTCATTCCCATCCATATTCTGTATTCTATTTCTGTCACTTCGGCCATTTCAGCCTTGTTGAGAACCCTTGCTAGGGAACAAGTGTGGTCATTTGGAAGAAAGAAAGTGCTCTGGCTTTTTGAGTTGCCAGAGTTGAACGAGTTCTTACACTGGTTCTTTCTCATTTATGTGGGCTGATGATGTTCCTTCAATCTTTGAAGTTGCTGTCTTTTTGATAGACTTGTTTTTTTTGTTTGTTTGTTTGTTTTGTTTTCTTTTATCTTATTTGATGCCCTTGGGGGTTTGATTATGGTATAAGGTGGGTTCAGTTGACTGGCTTTGATGCTAGTTTGCTACTGTGTCTTAATGACACCTCTGATTATTCTCCCCATGCTTCAGTTCTTCTTCTCGGTGTTGTGGTCCAAGGGCCTCCTCAGGCAGATAAGCCATATCCTTGCCAGGTTGGCCCTGATCTGCATCTGTGTGCTTCCTGTGAAAACATGAGGTTGCAACTGACCACAGAGTTTAGGTGGAAGCAGGACTGTCAGGTTGGAACCTCCAGCATGTATGGCTCATTTGGCTATGGGAGGTAAGATTGGTGGACCTGCCCACCCTGACATCTGGATGTTTCTAGAGCAACAGAAGACTGCATCCCTCAGCAAATTCAGGCAGAAGTAGAACCACTGGGCTAGAAACTCTAACAGTCATTGCTCACCTGGCTACCAATGGCAGGGGTGGGTGGAAATGCCCATGTTACTGTCCATGTGCTTACTGGGACAACAGCGAGCTGTGCCCACCAGTTGAGTTCAAACAGAAGCAGGCCACAGGGCCAGAAGCTCTAGCATGCAATGCCTGCCTAACTACCAGTGGCAGGGTTGGGTGGGGTCACACACTTTGCTGTCCAGGTATTTCTCAGGACAATAGGAAGCTCCACAGCCTTTTAAAAACATGGGCACTGGCTGGTCACTGGGTGGTTCATGACTGTAATCCTAGCACTTTGGGAAGCTGAGGTGGGCACATCACTTGAGGCCAGTTCGAGACCAGCCTGGCCAACATAGCAAAAATCCGTCTCTACTGAATGAAAAAAAAAAAAAAAAAAAAGATGGGCATTACCCTTTCATTCATCCATAAGCCACATTGCTATATTGTATAAGTCACAAATGCCACATTGTCATATATGCCATTTCTCCAGGGTGGTATTAATGAAAAGAAAAGGCAAGCTTCAGGGTATAGAAAATAACTTAAGCAAACCCTTATAGAGAGCTTGCCTATCAAAAGTCCTGTAACACATGAAATAAGGAAGAAAATATATTTTGTTGGCTCCTAAAACTATAACTGAAAGGAAGGTGAAGGGGGATTTAGGCAAACTCATATTGATAATGATTAAATTTTTAAAAAATCATATTTCTTTTTCTTTTATTTTTTGGAGACTGGGTATCAGTCTGTCACCTAGGATGGAGTACAGTGGCATGATCACAGCTCACTGCAACCTCGACCTCCTGGGCTCAAGCAATCTTCCCACCTCAGTCTCCCAGTGTGCTGGGATTACCGGCATGAGCCACTGCGCCTCTAAAACTGTATTTTAATTTCAAAAATAGAACATGCTGAATGAATAATATGGTAACAATAGCAGCAAATTAAGTAAATTATGAACGTTTCCCCCCTACCACTTCCAGGTCACTCTGCAACACTAATCTCCTCTCCTTGAGCAAGACCTCACAAAACAGTCCCAAATATGACATTCCATGCTATGCATTTTTAAGGAAAATTAAATTAACTCCCTAACATACATAAGAATCATATTCGTTAGATGCTGTTCACACATTATCCAGTAGATGGGGATCTTTTGTCTAGATGGGCTCTGGGAGGATAGATTCAGTCCCAGGAGATGCTGAAGAGAAGTAATGATACTTCAGTTTTTAGCTAAGAATTAGTGTTGTCTTATCATCTTTATCTTGTTTTAATATATTTTAGGAATTTCTACCTGTTTATCAACATGCAGTTGACATTATTATTGTTTTCAACAATGCAAGTAACTCTTGCCTTCCTTCTTTCTTCTAATATTTATTTGTGCCAGAATTTTACTAGCATTTGAAAATATAATTAAAAACAAACACACACAAAAACAAAAATACCTGCCATCCCGGAGTTTACAGCCAAAAAGTGGTTTGTGAGGAGAATATCATTTTGAATAGAAACATCTAGAAGTTTACAAATTCAATGTCTTCTTAAAACACTTAGAGGAAATGACAAAAGTAGAGATAATTAATATGAATAGTTAATTTATTGAATGCTTATTACGTGCAAAAAGCTATACTAAACATTATATATACATTCAACTCTCATAATCTTATAACCTAGACAGTTATTGTTATTCACATTTTACAGATGAGAAAACTGACAGAGAGGTTAAATGACTTTCTAGGGCCACAAAGTAACTAGATTAAGGAGCTGAGCTACCAGTGCAGGAAGTCTGACTTCAGAGCCTACTCATGAGCACTAAGCTACAAAGAAGGATTCAGAGGGACATAGATGGGCTGCAGAAATATGAGAGGAAAACCAGGATTGATTGAGGAATTGTTTCTCTAGGTTATTATTATCTCTCTGTGTCTCCTATATGTATCCATAACAGCTTGTGGATTGCTCAGCTAGAGAAAATGTCAGCTTTCTCTTCTGTAGCTTCCCCAGACGGATATTCCTGACTCTTCGTCTGGTTCGTATCTGGGTTCTGAGAGTCTGACCAGCATCAGATCTTTGGAAGGTGTTCAATAATGTTTGCTGAATAAATGTATATATGAGAAAGACACAACTGTTGGGAGGGGCAAGAAAAGGACAAAAAAGATGAGCACAAGACTCCAAAACTTCTTTACTGTTGCTGTTCTTACAATGTTTCATAGCCAAGTTGTTTCCCTCATGACTTTCTTAATCCTACTTCTATTTTACCTACATGATTGAACACCTGGATTTGCAAAGGAGAATGGAATTTGAGGATAATGAGATTTAGACTAAAAAGAACACAAACTCAAAATAAATGAATCAAGAAATTTCAGAAAGCTGCATCATAGGTCATATAGGGAACTGTAAATGTGTTATAATTGAGGAAACTGTATTTCAACAAGGTTAATTCACTTTCTTAAGGGCACCAGTTAATTAGTGGCACAGCCAAGATCCTATCTCTTAAAAGTAGCACTGTCCTTCACTCAGTACACAGTGTAGTTTGGTCATAAAAAAAGAATGATACCGGGATGGAACCAGGAAAGAAGAGTTTGCAGGCTTAAACACCATGCAAGGAGGCATTTGGTGAAAGAAATGCAGAGACAGAGTTGAGAACGGTAAATGAGACACAGCCAGAATAAGATTCATAAACAAATAACCACTATGCACTAAAACCACAACCTCACATGTCATACTAACTTTCGCTAACTCAAATTCTATTATGTTTACTCTCACACTTTTGCTGGATTGTGTAGAAAAAAAAATATTTTAATTGGTACACTGAAAAATGCCTCCAACTGTAACCATATATGTCAAGAGAGCTGAAAAAGTGCAAGAAAAAACTGCTGCTGATGATCTTTCATAGTGTTTTTAGTATTTACATGAACAGCATAGGGTGTTAACATTTATATCTTGATGTATTATAAACTCATCTTTTACATCTTCCCTAGTTCTTTGTCCAAAGGCACATGCTGTGAAACCCAAAGAAAAGAAAAGCTGCCACTCAATAATTAGTAATATAAAAACTCAGGGATAGATTCTCTCCTTAACTGGAGCAATCTTGAGGGTGAGTCACCTACACAATGGCACATTATTTTGTTTTATTCTACGTCAACAGCACAGTGCCATTGAGTGGATCCGTGTTAACATTTCTCAGAAAGAAAGGAGGGAAGGCAAGAAAAAAGGAAGAAATGAAGAAAAGGAGGCACCAGTGTGTTATAAGACAAACCATCACAAAATAGTAAGAAGAAAGCATTAACCAAACTCTGAGTGGAAACAAAAAGTATTCCCTCAAATTGTGTAGATACTGTATAAAGCTTAAGAAGTGATGACAAAAGCAGACAGGCTTAATTTGTCAAAACCAGAAATGTGCCTAATAATAAACAGAATTTGCAAAGAACTTGTTATGTAATCCATCACTGAAAAAGAAGGCAGTATTAAAAATATAAATCTGAGCTTGTCTTTTGCCAAGTAATTGGATAATAGGATTATAATCCTTCAAATTAAAACTGGTCTTGAAATAATTGATCACAAATGTAGAAAGAATAATATTTCTTGGGAATACTTGTGAAGAGATGGGAAATGGGTTTATAGATCTCACTGATAGTTATTAGCTTAATTTTTCCTTTCCTTTTCATGGATCATATACAATTCTTATTTCATGGTTGCTGTTCTTTTTTCCATACCAAAGGAAGAGAATCAGCCCCAACTTCACATGTGTTTTGTGTAACCATTTACTCTAGATTTAAACAGTTTAAAAGATGTATGAGGTGAAGTAATATTAAGACTGTCCATTTTATAGTTCTAAATTCCATACGTTAAGAATCAAGAATCTTAATAATAAACAGGAGTTCATACCAAGTAAATATGGGTGGTTGAGATGACAATTCTGTACATTTAAACAATGGTGGTAGAGGTTATTTTTATTTCCTTTTACTTCTATTTTTGTTTCAATACATTTTTAAGTATTTACTTTTGCTACTCAGGACACTTTAAAAGTCTGCTATTAAGATAGAGAGTCTTATATTTAAATACCACTTAACAGATTTTTAGGGAAAAAAAATGACTGAAGGAAAAAAAATCCCTCATCTATAAATTCCTAAAAAAGAGGCAAAAATTTTCAACAAGTTTTACTGAGGTATGACTGACAAAAAAAGTTGTATATGTTTAGGATATACAATGTGATGTTTGGATGTAGGTATATACATTGTAAAATGATTACCACAAGCTAATTAACATATGCATCACCTCACATAGTTATGTTTTTTTTTTTTATGGTGAGAACACTTGAAATATCTCTTAGCAAATTGCAGTGTACAGTACATTATTAACTATAGTCACCATGTTGTACATTAGGTCTCTGTATTTATTCTTCTTATAACTGAAGTGTCCATCAACAGATGAATGGGTAAAGAAAAGTTATACACAATGAAATATTATCCAGTCTTGAAAAAGAAGGAAATCCTGTCATTTGTAAAAACATGGTTGAACCTGCAGGACATTATGCTAAGTGAGATAAGCCAGACACAGAAAGACAAATACTGCATGACCTCACTTAAATGTGGAATCGAAAAAAAAACTTTGAACCCACCGTAATAGAGAGTAGAATGGTAGTTACTAGGTGTTTGGCAGGGAGAGGAGATATAGTTCACAGGGTACAAAACTTCAGGGTACAACTCAAAAAATTGAAGTCATTTTTTTGAGTTGCTCAAATTTCAGATTCTTGTGATGGCTTTTAAGCTGTTACATTATTAAAACTTTTTGACTTTTTGGTTGTAAAGGGATTTTATTACATTGAAGTGATTAGTAGCTGGAAGACAAATTTCATTTGATACTCTGGCAATTAAGATCTTCTTTAAACCATTTTTGCTTACTAATTCAATGTGTGAGAGTGTGTTTTTATGTTCACGAATATTTTAACAACAACAAAAAAGAAAAAAACCCTATGGTGTTGTTGAATAAGTAGAAGAGATAGAAGAAGAGAAGCAGTTAGAAGATGTCAAGTTATAAGAAGTCCAGTCCTTCTAAGATCTCTGAAAGGGTGCTTTCATTCACAACCAATTCTGTATTACCCAAAAGAACTCTAACTCAAACTACGCACCACAATATTTCAACAAAATACAGGCCATGTTCGTGTAAATGCCAATCTTGATTTCTCACCTTCTATATTTAGATTCCCATTGAGTAGCTCAAGAAAAATGCATGTGTAGAGATGAAAATACACAATAAATAAGATTATCACCTTGAAGTATTAAAATACTTCTTTTAATTTACAGAAACATTTCAATCATCTGTTGAAATTATATATATATATTGCTGTCTCACTCATTTTTGATATCTCCAATGTTTATGTATAGTCTACGAAAAACAATAATGCAGTTTCCTTTTTCATAGCACTTATCCTCTCCTGCCTTCTAATGTCCTATCATAAAACAATGCAGCTAAACAGAAGTCAAATATGTATCATCCTGAGCTCTGCTTTTTTATTATCTCCCATAAATGTGGAACTGCATTTTATCTGAGATTTTATTTGAAAAAAATGTAATGGAAAGGGTGTGAGTGAACTTTATGGAACAACAATAAAGGAACAAAACATGAAAATGCATTAAAAAATCAGAAAGGGTTATAATATTCCATAGTACATTAAAAAGCCAAATTGAAACCTTTTATTGGACTAATATAAATTCGAAAATTTTTCCTATGCCAAACTTCTGATCCATATTCTGCCTAACTTCATTATTCTTTAGTCTTGCTATTATTGTTGTTTAACTTTGTTTAAAAAATATATAGTTGAAAAAAGTTAACCTTTTTATCTCATGATCCCTTAAAATGCATGGAGATATACAAATTATACTAAAGACTGAAAAATACATCTGTACCTGAATTTTTATAAATTTAATTCTTTAAATTATCAAAGATCCTCTCAAAAAAGTGGAAGCAAAGTAAATATATATAAACTCTTAAAGTATATGCAAAGTATTCTAAAGAAAAGAATTATGTATCCATGGTTCTAGAATTATCCAAAAAGAAAAGCCACCTTAGTTCTGTTTATATATTTAGAAACAGAATACCTATTCATTAATTCCTCCAAAAGATAGATAAAGATACGGAGATAGGTATGTTTAAAAAGTAATAACAATGAAAGTATATTTTAAATTTAATCCAAGTTCACGTTGATTCTGGTGTTGCAATTCTAACCCTAAAACATCCCTACGAAGCTGGCAAGTTTCCTTTTACTAGTGCTCAGTTTTATAAAGTTCATCCCCTAAAAGCCCATCATATGGGTCTGTTCTCTAATAGTGAGTCACTTAACAGATGGCATCCCTTCCGGGCATGTCCTGCTGACACAAATTGTAGTTCTGTCCCGGACAATGTAACGCCCTCAACTTGTATTTGGAAGCAGACACAAGGGAGTAAAGGGTAGTAAGCTGTATTCATAACTGAGATTTAGCTTGGGAAAGAGTAGAAAGGCAGTGACTTTAGCTTTTTAATCTCCCACATATAAGCTCACATCTGCTGCTTTTGGTTATAGTTAGATTCATTTCTGTTTAAAGTTCTAGAGAAAAGCTCCCCTAAACCCCAAAAAACAGAGGTGAGGAAACAGGTGACTTTCACAGATAAATAAAAAATGTTAGAAAGTTAGTGTGAACATTTAATAGTCACCACTCTTTATAGACAAAAGCAGCACATACACCCTTAGGCTTTTGCTTATTGCTCTGGGGTTCCCACCACCAAACACGAGATGAAAAGACTGAAAAGTCCCTCCTGGAAGTGCCACAGGAAAATGACTTTGACAGTGAAGGGAAATGAGAATAATCTAAAGGGAAGGGAAAGTCAAGAATTTTAAAAGATGCTGAATGCTTTCCCTGATAAACAGAAGAGGACTATCTTCAAAAATTGCAAATAATTGATTTATTTTAAAATATACAAAAATTATAGGGTAATGTAACAAACAAACACCTATGTATGCTTCACTCAGATTTAACACAATGTGACAGTTTGGTATATATGCTTCAGGTTCTTTTGAAAAAAATAAATAATATATTAGACATCTGTTTGCAACAGCATATATAACAGATACCCTGAAAAAACAGGCTGTTGGAAACAACTAAATACAGTAGATAAAATATTTAAAAACATCTTTCCAAATGCATCATGATCTGTCAAAAAAGTAATGACTACTCCAAGACCAAAAAAAGTGACCATAGCAATGTAAATATAAGTGAACATTTAGAGTGTTTCAGCCTAGGGGTATTTGTTGAACACTAGTATCCATAAACTTCCATTTGGATGGGTGAATGGAGCTCCCACACGAAATCAAGAACCCAAAATGACACAATGTCAATGTCATGGACAGTATAATCACCAATGAGAGGGAATTTTGTAGACTCAAATGCTTAGTTTATGAAAAAAACAAAGCAAAACAAACAAACAAAAACCATGAATGCCATTCATTATATTAACCAATTAAAGGGAAAAATAGTATTTTTAAAAAATGTAGATCAAGAGTCCGGATAAATTCACATCTTTTCATGATTTTAAATATACACTGTTGGCAAATGAGGAATAAAAGAGAACATTCCTTACATGATAGAGTGTCCACCAAAAACCTAGAATAAAAAATAATGTTTTTATGGTCAAACATTGAAAGCTTTCTTTCTGAGAATAGAAAAGAGGAAAAGATGCTTGCTATCACCACCTCTATTCAACGTTTTATTGGAAGTTATGGTCAGCAGAGTAAGACAAGAGAGAATAAAAACTACAAGGGATGGAAGGGGAGAAAAGAAAAGAGAGAGATGGGGAGGGGACAGAAGGGAAGGAAAGGAGAGAAAAGAAAAGGAGGAAGAAAAACTGTCATTATTCACTGCTGATATGATTATGTATATAGAAAAACCCAAAAAAATACACCAACAAATTACTAGAATTTACTAAAATTGTATGTATGTATTTATTGCGTACAACATTATATTTTGAAGTATGAATACATTGTAGAATGAATAAACCTAGCTAACTAATGTATGTATTATTTCACAATGTTATCATTTGTGGTAAGAAAATGTAACATTTTCTCTCAATATTTTTCTAGAATACAATCTGTTATTAACTATAGCCACTATGTTATAGAAGTACATCTCTTTAACTTATTTCTTTCTTTTTTTTTTTTTTTTTGAGACAGAGTCTCACTCTCTTGCCAGGCTGGAGTGCAGTGGTGCGATCTCGGCTCACTGCAACCTCCGCCTCCCGGGTTCAAATGATTCTTGTGCCTCAGCCTCCCGAGTAGCTGGGACTACGGGCACCCACCACCACGCCCAGCTAATTTATGTATTTTTAGTAGAGACGGGGTTTCACCATGTTGGCCAGGATGGGCTCAATCTCTTGACCTCGTGATCCGCCTGCCTCTGCCTCCCAAAGTGCTGGGATTACAGATGTGAGCCACCGCGCCCAGCTTTATTTCTCTTATCTAACTAAAATTTTGGATCCATTGACCAACATCTTTCCATCATGCCCTCTACCCCCCAAGCATCCCAGCCTCTGGTAATCAACATTCTTGCTCTCTATTTTCATGAGATCAACTCTTTTAGGTTCCACATCTGAGTGAAGTCATATGGTACTTTTTTCTGTGCCAGGCTTATTTCACTTAATAACCTTCAGGCTCCTTCATTTTATCACAAATAACAGAATTTCTCCTTTTTTATGGCTGAATTTTGTATATATGCCACATTTTCTTTCTTCATTCATCCCTTGATGAACATTCAGGTTGATTCTATATCTTGGCTATTATGAATTATGCCACAATGTACATGGGAGTGCAGATATCTCCTTGAAATACTGATTTCGTTTCCTTTGGATATATACTCAGTACTAAGATTGTTATATTATATGGGGGTTCCATTTCTAATTTTTTGAGGAACTTCCATACTTTTTTTCACAATGGATGTACTAATTTACATTCTCACAAACAGTGTCCAAGGGTTCCCTTTTCTATGCATCTTTGCCAATACTTATTATCATCATCTTTTTGATAACAGCCAGTCTAGCAGTTGGGAGGTGATGTTTCATTATGCTTTGAATTTCATTTCTCTGATTATTAGTAATTAGTAGTTAAGCATTCATTTCATATACCTTTTGGCTAATTTTAGGTCTTCTATTGAGAAATGGTTATTCAGGCCTTTTGCCCATTCTTTAATCAGGTTATTTGCTTTATTACTATTGAGTTGAGTTGTTTATACATTTTGGATATTAATCCCTCATCTGATATGTGGATTGCAGATATTTTTCCCATTCTGTAGGTTATCTTTTTTTTTTTTTTTTTTTTTTTTTTTTGAGATGGAGTCTCACTCTGTCACCTAGGCTGGAGTGCCATGGTGCTATCTCAGCTCACTGCAACCTCCACTGCCCGGGTTCAAGCGATTCTCCTGTCAAAGCCTCCTGAGTAGCTGGGACTACAGGCATGCGCCACCACGTGCCCGGCTAATTTTTTGTATTTTTTAGTAGAGACGGTGTTTCACCGGATTGGCCAGGCTGGTCTCAAACTCCTGACCTCGTGATCTATCTGCCTCAGCCTCCCAAAGTGCTGAGATTACAGGCGTAAGCCACCGTGCCCGGCCAGTTATCTCTGTACCCTATTGATTGTTTCCTTTGCCGTGCAGAAGCTTTTTAGTTTAATGTAATCCCACTGATATATTTTTGCTTTTGTTGCTTGTGCTTTTGGGGTCATATCCAAATAATCACCACCCAGACCAATGTCCTGGAGCTTCCGCCTATGTTTTCTTTTTGTATTTTAATATTTTCTGTCATGTTTCTATATGCACTTAACATATATTGTCTCAATTAAGCTTCATATCAGCACTGCAAGGTATACATGTTTACCTCCATTTTTCAGATAAGGAACTGAGCTAAAATATTATGGAACTTTCCCACAGGCATTTACTGGTAGAGTATGCTATCAAACCTAATCCACCAGATCCTGGAGTCTGTGCTGTTTTTACATCACTGCACTTTCTTTCCTTTATGTAGGTAATGTGTTCAAACATAAGTGACAATATGGTAGAGGAGAAAAGACAGGCATACACACACACACACACAATTTAACATAATCATTATTATAATTTAAGTATCCATATGAATGGTAAAAACATTTAACGCTATTTAACGAATTCAGAAAATTGGTTGGCCTATCTTATATGTCAATATTTGTATACTGAGAAAGTTTTAGACAATGAATAATTCTCACCTTTATTATCCAGATCATTCAGAAAAGGTAATTTAAGTTGTCTAACAGTTTTAAGATAGTTAAGGTCAATGTAACTGCATGATTGTACATTACCTGCTCCTGTTTAAGACTCATTCACTGTTAAAACAGGCGTCTGATTAAGTACCTACCACACACAAAATTTATTAACCATAGCTTTTTGTTGAGAATGGTTTCGGTGGTCCCAAAGTTGCTAAAATGCTTTGTTGTTAATACTAGGCAAAGTAAAAAGAGTATCAAATTGGTGCCAAAAGAATTGGCTTTGAATTAAAGCTCTGTCTCTTACTATTTATGTGATCATAAGCAAGTTATTTAACCTCTCTGGATCTAGTTTGTATGAATATTAAGTGCCGATTAATAGCAACTATCTTCCAGTGTTGCTGTGAAGATTCAATGAGCTGATGTATCCAAAGTGCCTGGTGTATACTAAGTATTCATAAAAAGATGATACAAGTAACTGTGGAAATGTAGAGTGATCAAAGTTTCCCTTTAGCTTGCAGTGTTGTAGTCAGTTTATTATCTTTCTTTGTCAAGGTGATAGAAGCAGTGACTTCTTCAATCTCAGGGAGCAGATATCAGTGCTCCATATGTCAAATAAAACAGTACTTCCTTCCCTTTAGATTAAAAAAGCTCAGCAGGCATGTTTCAAATATATGAAGAGACAACAGCACACTCTATCCTCCTGGAGGCTGTGAAATAGCACATAGTTCTAGGGAGAAAACAATATTGCAAGCATCAAAAGCACTACGGACCTAAGGACTAAGGCTCCTTAAGGACATCTCAGTCTTTCTCAGTCAAACAAGTTTATGCTCTCACACCTGAGCTACCAGCAGAGATTGGGAATTGACTAGCCTTATCGCAGAGATGAAGCAAAAGAAAATCACTATTTCCTGTGAGGAAATGCCCAGAGGGGTTCTTAGATAGGCAGAAAGGTAAGGATAATATTATCTACTTTGGAAGTTTTCAGGGATACATATTACATTTTTGAGATAACAGGGACATCTCTTTCTTAACTTACAAGAGGGCATCTTCTGTCAGCAATATAGGGCCACGAGGAGACCTTGATCAATGTAGTTTTATCTGAGGTGTTATCTGAAGCAAAAGGAGAAAGACTGAAATTCTCACTCTCTAACATAAAAGTTGATGCAAATTAATTATACTCTGTAACCAAGCCTTACAAATATATACCCCTAAGATGAGAAGAAAGAAAAAAGCAGCTTCAGTTCCTTAGACCTCTCTTTAGGAAGAAAGGGTGAACACAGCAAGCAGTAGTTTGCCACTGAGGAAGAGACTGAGAATTGTGTATCTCTCAAAGGGACAAGAAATGCTAAAGGAAGTATGTGGTCTCCTGGTTTCAGAACATAGTTCAGTGCATTATTAAACCCTATGCCATTTCTTTAGACTGGGATGGTTAGCTCAGGCCACCGAAGGAAGGAAGGAGACCCTCCTTTGAAGCAGAAAGTTAACCTAGTAAAGAAAGCCCTAGGAAAGGCTTTTGAACAGGAGAGAGTCCTGAAGTTGGGGTTAGAGTTAATGTTTATAAAGGTGGTTTTGAGATAATGAGGAAGAATATATTCAAGAGAAATGGGAAGCTTGAAGTCAACCTGACAATTGTCATGTAAATCAAAACACTGAGAAGCAATATGAGGATGCTTATAACCTTCTACATCTGCATGAAACTCTATAGTGAAAAGGTTTGTAGATCGAGGAACAGAAAGAGCTCTGCTGTTGCTACTGCTGTCACTACTTTACCTATTTCAATTTCTTGAATCCTCAGTATGACCCAGTGAGAGCCAGAATCCTGGCATTGCCAATTGCTAGCTACATAAATTAAAGCAAATTATTCAAACTCTCTTAGACTCAATCTCATAATGTATAACACACAGATGGTAATAATCCTACTCATAGGATTGTAATAAGCATTACATAAAATAAGCTCAATAAGTGGGGGCTTTTATTAATGCTCCCACTAGATTTGTTCCTCACGTCAAAGTTTCTTGTTTAAAATTTCTGTCCCTTTTGTTATTCTGTGAAGAGAGGCAGGCAGACTATATTTTTTTTAATGAGAAGTTTTATCAAGGCACAATATACATAGCCTATACTACTGAGCCAGAGCCACTTAAGAGGAAATAAAAACCTTGGAATAATGAGGGAATTTAAAAATGAAATAATGAGAAAATTTAAAAATTACAAAATTGTGCTGGAAATCTACTGCCTTAAAGCTTATTTGTGTGCTAGATATATAATGAGGAGGTAAGTTTTACAAACTAGTTACTAACATTTTTTCTCATAACAGTAATTATAAGAACAGTTTATGAATTATATATTATGTCTCATTCAGATGGCAACTATAAAGAATGCCTTCAATTTGATTCTCTCCTTCCGTGAGTAAGAAGAAAGCACTAAGCACAAACGCTGGTCTCAGTTTTGCAAATATCAAGCTAGCAACAGATTTTTTAATCAAACTGGCAAAATCAATGTAAAACTAACAGATCACTCTAGATATCTACTGTCTTCTACTGATTCAAACTGACACTGGATATGAAAATAATTATCTGGGTTTTGCACAAGTAAAATACAATTTTCAACTTCAGTTGAGGCATTTGAGAAGAAATAACATATGCATATATTTGCATGCACACATATGCAGACATACACACAGAGACACACATACGCTACATAATTTTAGGCCTGGATGTCTAAGTAAGCCAGAAGACAAAACTGCATTATTCAGAGCTGTTGCAATTTAGAGAAAAGATACGATTTTGGGGCAGTAATGTTGAAGACAGTCATGGCTGGGGAAGTGGCAGAAGGTGGACAAAGTTGGGGGTAATCTAAAAGTTACCCAGAGACATAAAGCTCAGATGAAGGGAAGTGGGAATAGGAAAAAAAAATGTTATAGTTCTTACGGAGGTCTTACCGGTGCCTTTCTAAAGCATTCAACACAGCAAATAAAATAATCCCTCCCTCTTCCATTTTTACAATACATTAAAGATTTTTTTTTTAAAAAGGAAATGAAAACTGTTAAAGAAACAGGAAATACTTAGTCTAGATCAGTAGATTGGAGGTGAAGAAGAGGAGACCATGAAATTTATAATCCTTCTCTGTGTGCACATTTTCTATACTCACACTTCTGTTCACAAAATTGGGCATATAATTTCAGTGGACATATAATTGGGCATATAATTGCCATGAGGATCTCAGGTTGGAAACCAGTGCTATATAGGAAAGAATACCAAATGATTTATCAAATACCCTGTAATATTAATGGACATGTTAGTTTCCATATCTAAATTAAAACAGATAGAATTTAAAGTATATTTATAAGGTTATAATAATTCTCAAATTATAAACAGAGTTTATCATATTTTTACCTTTGACTTGGTGCTTGGAACTAAGAATATATACCATCCAATACAATAATTGCATAAATAGTATTTTGACTCCTCACATACAGTTTCTTCAGTGTAATAGTTTAGGCCATCCCATTACTGGGTATATACCCAAAGGATTATAAATCATGCTGCTATAAAGACACATGCACACGTATGTTTATTGTGGCACTATACAATAGCAAAGACTTGGAACCAACCCAAATGTCCATCAATGATAGACTGGATTAAGAAAATGTGGCACATATACACCATGGAATACTATGCAGCCATAAAAAATGATGAGTTCATGTCCTTTGTAGGGATATGGATGAAGCTGGAAACCATCATTCTCAGCAAACTATCGCAAAGACAAAAAACCAAACACTGCATGTTCTCACTCATAGGTGGGAATTGAACAATGAGAACCGTTGGACCCAGGAAGGGGAACATCACACACCAGGGCCTGTCATGGGCTGGGGGAGTGGGGGAGGGATAGCTTTAGGAGATATACCTAATGTAAATGATGAGTTAATGTGTGCAGCACACCAACATGGCGCATGTACACATATGTAACAAACCAGTACGTTGTGCACATGTACCCTAGAACTTAAAGTATATTTAAAAAAAAAATCTGGAAAAGACAAGGATGACTACTTTCACCATTTTTATAGCAATTAGGCAAGACAAAGATAAAGAGTATCAAATTGGAATGGAGGAATTAAAATTGTCCCAGTTTGCAGACAGAACAATCTTACATATTGAAAACCCTAAAGACCCCACTAAAAACACTGTTAGAGCTAATAAACAAACTCAGTAAAGTTGCAGGATATAAAATCAACAGGAATAATCAGTAGCATTTCTATACACCAATAGAAAAGTATCTGAAAATGAAATGAGGTGAACAATCCCATTTACAATGGCTATAAAAAAGACACTTAGAAATGAATTTAACCAAGGAGGTAAAAGATCTTTACAACGAAAAGTGTTAAATATTGAGGAAAGAAATCGAAAAGTAGCAAAGACATGGAATTAACTTAAATGCCCATCAATGATAGACTGGATAAAGAAAACGTGGTACATATACACCATGGAATACTATGCAGCTATAAAAAGAATGAGATCATATCTTTGCAGGAACATGGGTGGAGCTGGAGACCATCATGCCTTGCAAACTAACACAGAAACAGAAAACCAAATATATGTTCTCACTTATAAGTGGGAACTGAATGATGAGAACGCATGGACACATAGAGAGGAACAACAGACACTGGAGCCTCTCAGAGGGTAGAGGGTGGGAGGAGGGAGAGGATCAGGAAAAAATAACTAATGAGAACTAGGCTTAATACCTGGGTGACAAAATAATCTATACAACAACCCTCCATGACACAAGTTTACCTACATAACAAACTTGCACATGTAATCCTGAACTTAAAATAAAAGTTATAAAAATAATACAAATTACCTGAAAGATTATAAAATTTATATTAAATACCATAATCATAATAAAAAAGAATTTGAAGAGAATACAAAAAAAGTAAAGAAATACTACGATCATGGATTGGAAGAACTGATATTACTAAAATGTGCATACTCCTCAAAGCTATCTACAGATTCAATACAATCCTTATCACAATATCAATGGCATTCTTCACAGAAATGGAAAAAACAATCCTAACATTGTACAAAACCACAAAACCTCCTGAATAGCCAAAGCAATCTTGGGCAAAAAGAACATACCTACAGGCAACACAGTACCTGACCTTAAATTATACTGCAAAGCCATAGTAATCAAAAATGCATGGTTCTGGCATAAAAACAGATATAAGATTAATATAACAGAATATTACAGAAAGCCCAGAAATAAATTTATGCATTTAGGGCAAATTGATTTTTGACAAAGGTGCCAAGAATGTACAGTGAGGAAAGGGCAGTCTCTTCAATAAATAGTGTTGAAATAACTGGATATCCACATGCAAAAGCATAAAATTAGACCCTATTCTCACACCATATACTAAAAAAAAAGTATTAACTCAAAAACAACTTAAAAGGGATTAAAGATTTAAATGTAAAACCTGAAATCTTAAAACTATTATAAGAAAACTTAAGAGAGAAAGTCCCATGATATTGGTCTGGGCAATGATATTTTTGGATAGGGCCCAAAAGCATAGGCAACAAATGCACAAATAAATACATGGGATTACATCAAACTTAAAAGAAATGTTTATAAAAAAAGTTACTCCTTAAAGATGAGTCTGATTTTTGGCAGATTCTTTTCTTCTCTGCTGACCTTATAGATTCTCTAAATTGTTCCTATGTTCATGACATCTATGCTGCTCAATGAACTATGAGGCATTTCTTAAAGTGCCTTCATGGGTCCTAGAGGAAATATTCTCTTCATAATTTTTAAGTTTTTTTTTTTATCATCATTGGCTTCTATAGACTTGATAGCCAAAGCTATTATGATTGACATTACAGGCAATCTGGTTACATTACTAAATTCACCTCTGGAGATGTGTAGCACAGGGACTGTCTCTATACTGGACTCAGTTGTCATTGACTTGACCTTGAATTATTACATGATTTCAACCTATTTTGCCCTGCCTCATCCGTCCCTTCCAGTCATTCTCCACATTACGGGTAATCATTCTTAAAATGAATAGATCTTTGATGATGCTATTGTCTACTAACACCTTGCAACTGTTCCCTACTAATCTCAATATAAAGACCAAACTCTTTAAAATGGATTTAAGACCTCATATAATAAGACCCATCTAGCTTCACCTACTTACTTTTCCTCTTCCACCCATCCGATAACATACCCTATGATTCAACTTAACTGTGATTTTTGTTGTTGTTGTTTCCTTGCACTTTCCATGCGTTCTCTCACCTCTGCATCTTCACTAACACTGTTATCACAGCCTTACACACTTTTGTGCTCATCTCTACTCTAGCTGTATGTGGATCAAGAGGGCAGAGAATAATTTCAGGTATATATGAAAAGTTTTAAAAGATAAGCTAATTTTTAGAAGAAAACATGAAATAGCTTTATGGTGTCTGAATAGGGAAGTATTTCTTAAACAAGACAGAAAAAAAAGGCAACAACATAAAAGATTTATATTTAAATTAAACCTATAAACTACATTTAAACTAGCATTTTAAAAACTTCTATAGAAAGCAAAGACTATATTATTTTAAAGTGAAACAGACAAGCTATAAAGAGGGTGAAAAGATGTGCCACACCCATAACTGGCAAAGATTAGTGCCTAAAAGAAAAAAATTTTACCAATCAACAAGAACAAGATACCTCTACCAAACAAAAACCTAAAAGAAAAAGGTATAAAGGATATGCATAGATAATTCACAGAAGAAGAAACCTGAATAGCCAATACTTATGGAAAAATGTTTACCTTTATTATTAGAGAAGTGAAAATTTAAACAATGATACCTCAAACCCAGCAAACATTTTTAAATGTATTAAACCAAGATGTTGGTGATAATGTGGAAAAATTGAAACTTCCACACACTTACTGCTGTTGGTGAGGACTCTTATTTTGATACTCTCATATTGGAGATTTGGAAATCTTTAATAATTTCTAGCAACCCAACACTTAATCATATACAAGTACAAGTAGGTTCACTATAACATTATTTATCTTAGTGAAATAAACTGACCATCTAGGGAAGAATCAATAAATTTTCTAATGTGTTGCATCAAGTTAAACATATCCACATGGATAAATCTCAAAAATATATTAATCAGTAGAAAATTCATTCGTAAATAAATATAGCCAATGAAATATAATTTATGTATATTTTTAGTACATACCAAACAATATTATGCATTGTTTTAATGATATTCCCCATAACGATATTATGCAAAGTTTAAAAATGTAGATGTAAAGGGCACATACAATAGTGGCTAGAATGGTGGTTACCTGTGAAAAAGGAGAAAAGCAAATAAGGCAAAAGAGAGATTTGAAGCAGGACTGAACTATAACATTTTATTTCTAAATTGTATATATAGTCTTGAAACAAATATGGCATAAAGTTAACAACAGTTAAATTTGAGTGTGAGGTATAATTAGTGTTTTTATATTATTTTTGTAGCATTCAGCAACTTTCAAACTTTATAATTTCATTAAAAATATTGCTCCTTGTGGCCGTTTTCTTGAACCTATACTTGTCCCTTACTAAATCTACCAGGGAACTCTTTGCAATCATAGATAAATGTACACAAATAAACACAGACACACATACACTGACATGAAATTATGGGAGATATTTATTACAGGTAATGAAATTTCTTTAGAGCGAATAGTTACAAATATTGAACTAAAATTAAAGAAATAGCCTTGAATTTTACGGTTGGAGATAAACTTATAGAATACATTTTTTTACAGTGTGAAACACTGAAGCCCATAGTGGCTAAGAAGTCACTTCCAATTCACACAATTAGTGACTTAGAATTTCTGGGACTGTTGAAAGTGAAACATTTGGACCAGAGTATAGCTAAAGTCTTTTCTAATTGTAAGTTTCAGAAAAAAAAAAAAAAAAGTAATGAGTAGAAGATTTTACATGTCAACATTTAACAAAGCTTCTACCACGTATAGAACATAAGCTTGTTTTCCTTCTTGAACCTTCTTTGCCAGATGACTGCAGTAGTTTTATTTTTTTCTCTGTCTTGAACCACATAACCCTCGAATTTTTTTTTAATTAAAAGTGCTAAGCTTGCAGTGGCTTCACAAAAGTACATACATCATTGAACATATGTACCCAGAGACTTTTCCTTTCCTTTGCTGGACATCATTTACATGCAAACCACTTACATATTTACTAACCTGAACCACCCAACTTTAAGATTTTTTAATATGATGCTTCTAATAGAATCTGTAATTTTCAAATAGGACACATTTTTATTTTTAATTATTAATTCCAGTTGTAGATATAATACATAACTAGTTACCAATCAAAAATATATACTCAAAGAAAATATTAGACCTAAGTGTTAATCATTTTCATGATAAGCTTTTCTTATTTATAGTAATCAGCCTAATAAAAGAATACTGAAAAAAAAATCTTGACAGACTTCCCCATCTCCCTGAAGAGTTCTTTTGTTAGCAAGTTGTGTATGCTCAAGATAGAAGCGTATTTTTTCCTGTTCCTTCTATGGGAAGAATGTCCACAATGCCAGCTGCTCTGAGAGGCATCCTATTCCTCCCCTCCAACAGGCAAGTCCCAGTATCTCATACGAGCTCTAAGCTGCATGCATGTGAGACATCACTGCAGCTGAGGTTTCACTTCTAATCCCAAACACCTGTTACCAAGGTAGAGTCTGCTCTGAAGAATCAAATAACACAAGTCTAGAGACCATAGTTCATGTTGGAGCAGGTGATTTCACAGGGTGCAGCCCACTATGGACTTTTTCTCTGGCAGCTGATGTCAACATCCCAGCATTACTCTGGTTTAAACCATATAGAAACTGATATTCTTAGCTGGCATCACATAATGTTCTCCTACTTTGCCCAGATCTCTGAGAAAGTGCTCATCAAAAATCATAGTGCTTTTTGCTTAACTTTTTCCTTCACTTGAACTTGGAAAAGATCTTTTTTTTGAAGTGACTATCTTATGTGTTCTATGTGACTATGTTAATATAATTATTCTGAACAATAGAGGTTTAGAAGAGATATTTCTTGAAGGAAATAACTACAGGAGTCACTGAAACAAAATACAAAGTGGTGAGGTTAATTCCTAGTTTCAGAAACTTTCTTTTCTTCATTGTACAGGTGGTTCCTGACTTACAAGCGTTAATTTTTTTTCAATTTTAAGATGGTTGAAAACAATATGCATTCATTAGAAACTGTACTTTGAAATTCAAATTTTGACCCTTTCCTGGGTTAGTAATATGTAAGCACAGTACTCTCTTGTGGTTCTGGACAGTGAGAGTGAGCCACAGCTCCCAGTCAGCCATGCTGTCACCGGTAAATGACAAATACCCTATAGTGTATTGTGTTGCCAAATGCTTTTGCCTAACTATAAACTAATGTTAAGCGTTCTGAGCATGTTTAAGGTAGGCTAGCCTAAGCTATGATGTTTAGTAGGCTACGTGTATTAAATGCATTTTTGACTTCAATATTTCCACTTGCAACGGGTCTAACAGGATGTAACCCCATTGTAAATGGAGGAACATCTGTATTTGTTATAGCAGCCCAAACTGACTAAGACACCTGGCATCCACAGAGACTGTAGAGAATGAAGCAAATACTTCCTTAAGGTAGCCTTTATATTACCAATACATTTTAAATTTAAAGTATGATACAACCATTTTTTAAATGGCAGCAGACTACAAATAGAAAACAAGTGGCTATAAAAAATATTAATTAGATGCAAACTTCTGTAACTTTTCCAAGCTCACAAACAAAACTGAGGAAATGATGTTTTTTTCTTTATTTTCCCCAGCTGATGTGCCAAGAGCTGACAGAAGCAATCTTAAAAAAGAACAAGTGATACAATTCCCATGTTCTTTCCATGAGTTTACATTTTTTTAGCATTGCAAAATATTTTAACAATCATGGTCACTTAAATAAAGCTATGAATAACATTTTTTGACACTTAAATTAATAACATATACAGAAGACTATGAACACTAAAGATTTTGCTTTCTCTGAGATGCCCTAAATTTTGTGCAGCTGAAAAAAGTTTCACTATATTTTGCCTCTGTCAATCGCATGAAACAAGCTTGAATTATTTTTCTCAAAATAATCCATAAGCACTTTTGCTCCTGGGCTAACCTAATTTCTTATTGCTTTCTAATAAGAGTTTTGACTAATTTAGTGTGAACCAAAAAAGAACAAGTTTAACAAAAGGCATGGAATAAAAATAGAAGATGTGCTCCATGCTCTATGAAGGAAAAGTTCTTCAATATAACAATTCAAAATGAACTATTGCCTAAAAATATATGTCCTATGGTATTTATAAAATATTAGCAAAAGGAAATAAAATAATTTAGGTGGCTTGCAATCTAATATGCAACTTTTCTTCTTTTCAGACACTTAACTCTTCATGAAGCATTAAGGGTACTGCCCAGAGGGAACAAAACATCATTCAGGAACAAAATTTAACTTTACTGTCATGACCTTGCCTTACCAAGTACCAGCCTCTTGATAGGATTTTCTTTTTCTGTTAAATCTTCTAATATTAGCTTTGAGGGAATTTTAATCATTTAGAACGATTAGGCCCCAACTAAAAAACTCAAGCAGCATTCAGCTTTGATTCTACATGACTGAAATCATTTTTTATAGACACAAAAATGGCTCTCACATTACCACTGAGAGTTACATTGTAGCACATTCCAGTCAGAGATACCTAAAGTATATAAACAATATTATGTATTAATAATTCCTTGAAGTTCACTTTGCAATGTTGCATCTACAGGTATTACAAAAAATCTTCCACCTGCCCTGTTCCTGTTGGTGAAATCCTGTTGCCTATAACACAAGCACAATTGAGCTACTTACAATTGTGCATACTTCAGAGTGTAATAAGAAACATTATTAAAATATCACTTTATACTCAAAATTTAAAACGATGTGAATCTCCCAAAAGAAATATTTTGTCAATAATTAAATAATTTCAAAATCATCGGAAATGAATAATAAACTTTGTTTATAGTATTGCAGTTACCAATGCCACTTTAGCTTGTAAGTAATAACACTGGCCAATCTTTAAAATTAGTTTTGAATTACACGAATTTTGAATTGCATAATGTCTTCAATAATGCATTCCTCTTACAAAATATTTCTACCATATACTAATCCCAAGTAATTTCTCATATCACCCTTTGTAACATGCCTCACAGAGAAGTTTTCTTTCTTTAGGTTCCCAATGCATTTCTCTTCTGTGCCTAGTATCACATATATCCTCTCACACCGCACAAGGTGGTTAATGTGTCTGTAATTGTGTACTTCTTAACGTAAGTGACTGTGAGTTCCTCATCTTTCTCCAGAACTACATATATGGCCAATTGCATTTCAAATAGGTGCCCCTAATTTTTGGCAAATTTATTTTTCCTTTAAAAGAACTGCATTTGACACAGTAGCTTGGCTGGGGGCAGAAAGCTGGGAACCCGGCACAGGGCTACTTTGCTCCTGGACTTGTTCCTGACCCCCAACAACTCTGGGGAAATGGGTGAGTTGAACTGGCAAAGGCGCAAGCTCTTCTCGCCATGGGCTTCTGGAATCTCAGCAGGATACCCCTTAACCACCACAGACACTCAGCTGGCAGGGAGAGCTGCTTAGAGAAGTGGTAGGTGCAGTACATTAGCTGATGCAGAGCCCAGAGTGTTTGGTGTGGGAGTGTCTGTAGAGGAACACAGCCAGGAATGCCCATCCCCCAGGCTCAACTTGTTCCTATAGGAGACATTAGCCCTAGAGGAACTGTGGGACCTAAACTCTTCAGGGTGGTTCTTGCCCATCAGATGGGGCTGGTCCAGTCTAAGCACCCCTTGGTCTGCTGTCCTCTCCTGGGGCCCCAGCATGGCCACACCTGCTTACAGTGCAGCCTCAGGTGCCCTGGGGGCCCACATCATAGGTCTTTCACAGGCAGACTATGCCTGACTGGTAGAGAGCTTCAGTGGGACTGCCCCCATGCCATACACCAGCCCACCGGTTCCCTCCCCATGGCCACCTCCCACATAGCTTTGCCAGCAGTGTGTGTAGCAGGTAGGGATTAGGGGCCTGGAGGGTAACCTTCCTTGCCCCACCAGCACCTCACTCTGTCCCCATGCCCTGATCCCCTATTGGACCACCATTGTAGTCAAAGCCTTGGCAGGAAAGAGCCAGCCAGCCCCACGCCTGCCAGTGCCCCACCCTTGCCAACACTGGTGTGGGAGTTACACTAGGCACAGAGAACAGCCGACCAACCCCCTCCCTGAGTTACCAACCCTGCCCGCAGCACACAAAGAGGGCACAAAGACAGCACACAAAGAGGGCCCGCAGCACACAAAGAGGCCACCAGTGCCCCATCCCCATATTAACACCGTCACCAGCACAACCATGGGTACAGTTGCCAGCAGGGACTCCCTGCCCTCCCCCTTGAGCCATGCTGCCTCCACCACTTAGGTGACTGCCTGCATGGAGGCAGGCACCCTGGCACCTGCTAGCACCCTGCTGCAGCCAATGAGTGTGCACCCCACTACACTGCTGCTGCTGCTGCTGCTGCTGGAATGTATAAATGAGTATGGATCCCACTGCCACTGCACTATAAAACACTTTTGCTGACACTACCCATTGGAGTATAGTGAACAGTGGTCCAGGAGCACCTCAGCACCCCCAGCACAATGGATTCCTAATCTCAAGGAGACAGAGAACAAAGTTTGGGGCTGATAAAAGTCCCCCAGAGTTACAGAACACAATCCAGGAGTTGGGAGCTGAGTGTTTGTCCCCTAAAATACTCCAGAAATAAAGCCAGTTGGCTGAACCCACCTTATAGCACCATCAAACAGTCGAGGTCATCAAATAGGATAAAAGAAAATAAATCAAAACGTCAGCGACTTCAAAGCATGAAGAAACATCAGCCCATAAAGATAAGAAAGAACCAGCTCAAGAACTCTGACAACTCAGAAAGCCTGAGTGTCTTCTTTCCTTCAAATGACTGCGCTACCCCTCCGGCAAAAGTTGTGAACCAGGATGAGGTGGCTGAAATGACAGAAATAAAATTCAGAATATGGATAGGAATGAACATCATTGAGATGCAGGAATACACTGAAACTCAATCCAAGGAAGATACAAATCACAATAAAATGATACAGGAGCTGACAGACAAAATAGCCAGTATAGAAAAGAATGTAATCAACCTGATAGAGCTGAAAACATGCTACAAGAATTTTATAATGCAATCACAAGTATTAATAGCAGAATAGACCAAGCTGAGGAAAAAATCTCAGAGCTTTAAGACTGGCTCTCTGAAATAAGACAGTCAGACAAAAATAGAGAAAAAAATAAAAAGGAATGAATAAAACCTCTAAGATATATGAGATCATGGAAAGAGACCAAATCCACAACTCACTGGTGTCCCTGAAGGAGACAGGGAGAGTGTAAGCAACTTGGAAAACATGTTTTAGGATATCATCCATGAGAACTTCTCCAACCCAGCTAGAGAGGCCAACATTCAAATTCTGGAAATGCAGATAACCTCACTAAAATACTTCACGAGAAGATCATCCCCAAGACACACAGTCATCAGATTCTCCAAGGTTGAAATGAAAGAAAAAACTCTTGAGGCAGCTAAAGAAAAATGTCAGATAAGCGACAAAAGGAAGCCCATAAGACTAACAGGGGACCACTCAGCAGAACCCTACAAGCCAGAAGAGATTGGGGGCCAGTATTAAATATTCTTTTTTTTATTTTTTGCTATTTATTTATTTATTTATTGAGACAGAGTCTTGTTCTGTCACCCAAGCTGAAGCACAGTGGCGTGATCTTGGCTAACTCCAACCTATGCCTCCCAGGTTCCAGTAATTATACTGCTTCAGTCTCCTGAGTAGCTGAGATTACAGGTACATGCCACTATGCCTGGCTAATTTTTTGTATTCTTAGTAGAGATGGGCTTTCACCATGTTGGCCAGCTGGTCTTGAACTCCTGATCTCAGGTGATCCACCCACCTTGGCCTCCCAAAGTGCTGGGATTATAGGCATGAGCCACCACGCCTAGCCATTTGACATTCTTAAAGAAAAGAAATTCCAACCCAGCACTTCGTATCTGGCCAAATTAAGCTTAATATGTGAAAGAGAAATACGATCCTTTTCAGACAAGTGAATGCTGAGGGAATTTATCACCAGACATGCTTAAAAGAGCTCCTAAAGGAAGCTCTAAATATGAAGAGAAAAGACCATTACTGGCCACTAAAAAACACACACACACTTAGGTACACAGACCAGTGACACTGTAAAGCAACCCCACAAAAGATTCTGCATAATAATTGCCTAACATCATGATGACAGAATCAAATCCATACATATCAATATTAACCTTGAATGTAAACAGGCTAAATGTCCTAATTAAAAGGTATAACATGGCAGGCTGGGTAAAGAAGCAAGACCCATTGGTATGCTGTCTTCAAGAGACCCATCTTACATACAACAACACCCATAGGCTCAAAATAAAGGGATGGAGAAAAATCTAGCAAGCAAATGGAAGACAGAAAAAAATCAGAGTTGCAATACTAATTTTAGACAAAACAGACTTTAAACCAACAATAATTTAAAAAGACAAAGAAGGGCATTACATAATGGTAAAGGGTTCAATTCAACAAGAAGACCTAACTATCCTAAATATATACATGCCCAACAGAGGAGCACCCAGATTTATAAAGCAAGTTCTTAAGATACTTTCAAAGAGACTTAGACTCCAACACAATAACAATGGGAGACTTTAACACCCCATTGACAGTATTAGACAGATCATCAAGGCAAAAAATTAACAAAGATATTGAAGAACTGAACTCAGTACTGGATCAAATGGACCTGATAGAAATTCTACAGAACTCTCCAACCCAAAATAACAGACTATACATTCTTCTCATCACCACAGGGCACATATTGTAAAATCAATCACATAATCAGACACAAAACACTCCTCAGCAAATGCAAAAGAACTGAAATCATAACAACTATTCTTTCAGACAACAGCACAATAAAATTAGGGATCAAGACTAAGAAAATTCTTCAAAACCATACAATTACATGGAAATTGAATAACCTGCTTCTGAATGACTTTTAAGTAAATAATTAAATTAAGGTAGAAATCAAGAAGTTCTTTGAAACTAATGAGAACAAAGATACAACCAACCAGAATCTCTGGGACACAGGTAAGGCAGTCTTAAGAAGAAAATTATAGCACTAAATGCTCACATGAAAAAGTTAGAAAGATCTCAAATTAACAACTTAACATCACAACTAGAAGAACTAGAGAAGCAAGAACAAAGCAACCCCAAAGCCAGCAGAAGACAAGAAATAATCAAAATCAGGACTGAATTGATGGAGACTGGGACACAAAAACCCTTTCAAAGGATCAATGAATCCAGGAGTTTTTAAAATATAAATTAGATAGACTGCTAGCTAGACTAATAAAAAACAAAAGAGAGAAGATCCAAATAAACACAATTATAAATGACAAACAGGATATTTCCCTGACCTGAATATTATCAAAATATCAAAGAATATTATGAACACTTTTGTGCACATGCACTAGAAAATCTAGAAGAAATGGGAAAATTTTTTGGATATATACATCCTCCCAAGACTGAGTCAGGAAAAAACTGAATCCCTGATCAGACCAATAATGAACTCCAAAATTGAAGCAGTAATAAATGGCCTACCAACCTTAAAAAAAAAAAAAAAAAAAAAGCCCAGGACCAGATGGATTCAGAGTTGAACTCTATCAGATATACAAAGGAGAAGAGTTGAGAGTTGATACCATTCCTACTGAAACTATTTCCAAAAATTGAAAGGAAGGACCCCTCCCTAACTCATTCTATGAGGCCAGCGTCATCCTGATACCAAAACCTGGCAGAGACAAAACAGAAAAAAAAAAAAAAAAAAAAAAAACAGACCAATATCCATGATGAATATTGAAGCAAAAATCCTCAACAAAATACTGTCAAACCAAATCCAGCAGCACATCAAAAAGCGTATCCATCACATTCAAGTAGGCTTTATCCCTAAGATTCAAGGTTGGTTCAACATATGCAAATCAATAACTGTGATTCATCATATAAATAGAACAAGAGACAAAAACTACATGATCTCAATAGATGCTGAAAAGCCTTTGGATAAAATTAAATATCTCTTCACGTTCAAAACTCTCAATAAACTAGGCACTGAAGGAACATACCTCAAAACAATAAGAGCCATCTATGACAATCCCGCAGACAACATTATGCTGAATGGGAAAAAGCTAAAAACATTCCCTTTGAAAACCAGCACAAGACAAAGATGCTGTCTCTCACCACTCCAATTCAACATAATATCAGAAGACCTGGCCAGAGCAATCAGGCAAGAGAAAGAAATAAAGCACATCCAAATAGAAAGAAAGGAAGTCAAGCTATCCTTGTTTGCAGATGACATAATCCTATACCTAGAAAACCCATAGTCTCAGCCCAAATCTCCTTGATCTAATGAACAACTTCAGCAAAGTCTCAGGAAACAAAATCAACATACAAAAAATCACTAGCATTTTTGTACATGAACAACAGTCAACCTGGGAGCCAAATCAGGAATGCAGTCCCATCCCCAAATGACAGTAAAAAAATAAAACGCCTAGGAATACAGCTAACTAGTGAGGTGAAAAATCTCTACAAGGAGAAATACAAAACATTCACAGAGAAATCAGAGATGACATAAACAAAAGGAAAAACATTCCATGCTTATGGATAGGAAGAATCAATAGGATGAAAATGGCCACACTGCCCAAAGCAATTTACAGATTCAATGCTATTCCTATCAAACTACCAATGACATTCTTCACAGAACTACATAAAACTGTTTAAAAATTCATAGGGAGCTAAAAAAAAAAAAAAAAAGAGCCCGAATGGCCAAGGCAATCCTAAGCAAATAGAACAAAGCTGGAAGCATCATGCTATCCAACTTCAAACTATACTACAGGGCTACAGTAACCCAGTTGTCTACAAAAATAGACACATAAACCAGTGAAATGGAGTAGAGAGACGAGTAATAAGGTCACACACCTAAAACCATCTCATCTTCAACAAAGCTGACAAAAACAAGCAATGGGATAAGGACTCCCTATTCAATAAATGGTGCTGGAATAAATGGTGCTGGAATAACTAGCTAGTCACAGCAGAAGATTGAAACTGGACCCCTACTCAAGGTAGATTAAAGACTTAAATGTAAAACTCAAAACTATAAAAAACCTGGAAGACGACATAGGCAATACCATTCTAGACATAGGAACAGGCAAAGATTTCATGACAAAGATGCCAAAGCAATTGCAACAAAATCAAAAATTGACAAATGGGATCTAATTAAACTAAAGAGTTTCTGCAAAATAAAAGAAACTATCAACAGAATAAACAGACAACCGACAGAATGGGAGAAAATTTTTGCAAACTTTGCATCTGATAAATGTCTGATATCCAGCATTTATAAGGAACTGAAACAAATTTACAAGATAAAAGTAAATGACCCCATTAAAAATGGACAAAGGACATGAACAAACACTTTTCAAAAGAAGACACATATTCAGCCAATAAGCATATGAAAAAAAAGCTCAGTATCACTGATCACTAGAGAAATTCAAATGAAAACCACAATAATATACCATCTCACACCAGTTAGAATGGCAATTATTAAAAAGTCAAAAAATAACAGGTGCTGGTGTGGTTGTAGAGAAAAAGGAATACTTATACACTGTTGGTGGGAATGTAAATTAATTCAACTATTGTATAAAACAGTGTGGCAATTCCTGAAAGACTTAAAAACAGAATTACCATTTGACCCAGCAATCCCATTACTGGGTAGATACCCAAAGAATATCAATCATTCTACTATAAAGAGACAGGCATGCGTATGTTCATTGCAGCACTACTCACAATAGCAAAGACATGGAATCAATCTAATGCCCATCAATGGTAGACTGGATAAAAGAAAAGGTGGTACGTATACACCATGGAATACTCTGCAGACATAAAAACGAATAAGATCATATCTTTTTCAGGAACATGGATGGAACTGGAGGCCATTATTCTTAGCAAACTAATGCAGAAACAGAAAAGCAAATACCACATGTTTGTTCCCACTTATAAATGAAAGCTACATGATGAGAATGCATAGACACATAGAGGGGAGCAGACACTTGGGCCTATTGGAGAGTTGTGGGTGGTTGGAGGTAGAGGGTCTGAACAATAACTAATGGTCACTAGGCTTAATATGTGGGTGATAAAATAATCTGTACAATACCCCATGACAAAGTTTACCTATCTAACAAACCTGTACATGTGCCCCAAACTTAAAATAAAAGTAAAAAAACAAAGCATTGTATTTATGAAAGTTCATTTTCAGAAACATTCAATATATATGGAAAAAATGATTATATTTGATTACTACTTTGAATACAGTTATAAGTCATAAATAAGTAGCTAACACAGGTCATAACTTAATTAAAAATATAATTCTCGTTTTTCCTAATGAGTTGTCTATCAAATAACTGAGTTGTTTTCTTCATTGAGATATAATTCACAAGCCATAAAATTCAGCCTTTTAAACTGTACAGTTCAGTGTTTTTCAGTATATTCAAAGAGTTGTACAACCATCACTACAATCTAACTTAAGAATTTTTTATCCAACCTAAAAGAAAACATGTGACAATTAGCAGTCATTCCCCATTTCCACTAACTCCTACCACCCCAGCCTCCAGCAATAATGAATCTACTACTGTTTCTATAGATTTGACTCATCTTGGCAATTCATATAAATAGAATCATGTAGTATGTGGCCTTTGTGACTGGTTTCTTTGGCTTAGCACATTGTTTTTAAGGTTTATCCAGTTTGTAGCATTTATAAGGACTTCATTCCTTTTTATGCTTGAGTAATATTCCATTGTGTAGATATATCACATTTTGTTTTTCCGTTAATCATGATAGACATTTGCATGGCTTTCAGTTTGAGCTATTATTCATAATTCTGTAATGGACATCCATGTAGAAGTTTTTGTGTGTTTTTATTTATCTTGGATATATACCTAGAAGTGGAATTATGGGGTCATATGGTAAATCTATGTTTAATATTTTGAGGAATTCTCAAACTATTTTCAAAAGTGTCTGCACCCTTTTACATTCCCACAGTATATGAGGGTCACAATTTATCCACATCATCCCTAACACTTGTTATTATCTGTCTTTTGATTATAGCCAACCTAGTCAGTATGAACTGGTATCTTACTGCAGTTTTGATTTGCACTTTTCTAATGACTAATGATGTTTAAGACCTTTTGATATGCTTATTGGCCACTTGTATTTTGTCTTGGCTGAAATGTTTATGCAAATTCTTTCCCCTGTTTCTAATTGGGTTATTTATCTTTTTATTATTGAATAGTAAGACAAATATTTTGAATGCAAGTCCCTTATCAGATATTTTCTCCCATTCAGTAGGTTTTCTTCACTGTACTGATATAATCATTTTGAGAACAAAATGTGTTTATTTTGATGAAGTCAATTGTATAAATTTTTAGTTTTAGTGTCATATCTAAAAACCACTGCCTGACCCAAAGTCACAAAGATTTACTCTTATGTTTCCTTCTAAGAGTTTTATACTTTTAGCATACAGTACTATCAACCTGACTCAGGTAGAAAACACATGAATTAACCTTCTGCATAATTTCATCAAAACAACATACTTATAAATATACATACATTTGCACACACCTAGCTATGTATGGCAGAAGTGCTTTAAACTTATATAAGAACAGCATTTTATGAATCCCAAATTCTAGATAAGGTATGTATGTGTGGAATGTTTACAACCAGCATGATACAATGCAACTCATTTTTTTTTTATTTTCCACAACAGTTTTGATTACTGCTTTCTGATTGTGTCATAACCTATTTCCCCCGCTTGAGTCTTTAATTGCTTGTGAGGTAGGAAAGGATTGCCTTTATAGTCATCCATAATGGACCATGCGAAGGCTGCTTCTGTCCTAAAGTGATGGAAAGAGATTGGTCTACACGAGAGACTCAGACAGATTTGGGTTCTATTCCAAATTGTGCTATCTGTATGTCCCTGGGCAAATTACTTAGTATCTCTGAACCTATTTAACTATAAAATGGACCTATGAAGCCCGTATTTTATGGTTACTTATAAATATCTTGCAATTGAAGAGGTAACACATTTAATGCACTCAGCATGTAACTGTCATTAAACAATTGATTTATAAATACATCAGTCTTCCTTTTCCCCAAAACCACTCCCTACCAGATATACCAGTAAAAACCGTCAGTATATTTTCTTATTTCCTACTATTCCAGATTGAGAATCTTTGTCTAGCTTTGAAGACATTTTCTACGTAGTTGGGCACCAAATTCCAATATACTCTCTGTCACTATCTTCTACTAGGTATAAGCTACTGTACTGACTTTTTAAAATGACAGTTTACAACCTCAAGGGCCTTATTATCTTTTAGAAAAACATCAGAGAGACTATTAAAAAGGCAGAATGTTACAGTGTCATAAGAGATACAAGCCAATTCCTTTGGGGTTCAGAAAATGATATGCATTATGCAAATGCGGAAGTCAGAAAAATTTCTGGAGAAGTTAAGGTGAACATTAAAATATGGTTAGGATTAAGGTGGAGTAACTCCTAAAGTAATTAGGGGTCTTTAGGTAAACAAAAGAACTAGCATAAGCATATGGACATATGAAAGAGAGGGAATATTTGCAGAAATAAAGGGAATACAGATTCTTGATGTGTCTAAAGTACAGATGACACATGGGAGTAAGTTGGATCCAGAGCACAGAAGGCACTAAACGATGGATCAAGTTTGGACTTTGACAGGTGATGCAAGGCTAAACAGAAACCTAACATGTTAAGAAGGGTATTCCAGGATGATCCTTTCTTCAGCAACATACAAAATGATTTGGGTGGGGAGGAGTGTAAGCAGACTAGGAGTAGAGAAACAAGTCAGTTACTACAATATTCCAAATAAGGCTGACACTGCTGTGTACCTCCCAGTAGTCATCATTCACACAGGGTTCTGCTAACAGAACCCTAATGCTGTTCCAGAATCTTGCAGGTAGCAATATGCTCAAGAAAAGTGGATCCTTCCCTAAGGGACAAAAATAAAGTGACCTAAGCCAGGGTTGAGTAGACTTTTTCCATAAATGACCAGATAGTAAATATTTTAGTCTTTGCAGGCCATGGGGTCTCAGTCATAATTGCTCATTTATGTCATTGTAAGATGAAGAAAATGATGGACAATGTGGAAATGAATGAATGTAACTGCATTCCAAAATAACTTCATTTGTGGAAACTCAAATTTAAATTTCATATAATTTTCATGTGTTATAACATATTCTTCTGACTTTTTAACCGCTTAAATGTAAAATTCCTTCTTAGCTCCTGGGCCATACAAAACCAGGCAGCATGATGTATTTGATCCATGAGTTACATTTTGCCAACCCCTAATCTTAACCAATTGTCGCTACTCTGAACTCCCTGCCCGTTTATGTTTAGGGAGCAATTGGCTATGTGATGTGTTTCTGATCTATGAGATATAAGGAAAAGTCCACCAAAGAATTTCTAGAAAAGATTTTCTCATCTAATAAAAACAGATGTATAAGAAAAATAAAGTCATTGAAGATGAACTGTTTAGAGCTGAGTCCACTATTTCTGCATCCATGAGAGCAATGCCAAGAGCACTATGGAGGAACATTGCAACTAATATACCAAGTGAAAGATGTAAGTAGGACCAAAGCAGAATGATCACAGGATGAATAAGTCAGAAAGCAGTTTCTTCAAGAGAAACTGTTGAGGTGGCATTGTTCCAATGGTTTCCAGTTTAGAAGACATGCAATGGAACATAATAAATTCAGCCTATGTGTCAGGCATTTGAGTCTGAATGAAAAGGAGGATGGTGCTACTTTTACAAGAGTAAAGGATGGTTTGAGTAGAAAATGAGTATGATCTGGAACCTCAGGGAGGCAGCGTGAGATTCATAAAACAGACTGCTGAGTAACAGCAAGGTTGAGTGTAGCTTGCTGGAATGTGAGGCAGA
Organism: Homo sapiens; assembly: GCF_000001405.40. Lineage (NCBI taxonomy): Eukaryota > Metazoa > Chordata > Mammalia > Primates > Hominidae > Homo > Homo sapiens. The sequence goes on along the minus strand of NC_000010.11, from coordinate 51,973,232 downwards.
TCATTTCACCTTGGTTCATAGCAACAGTGTTTTTCAGCTCCTGGAGGTGCTAATGAAGCCATGGCAAGCATTGGTCACACATTCCATGTGACAGGATCAGCCTGCACCTTCCCCTAGGCAGAAGCTTGTCACTAGAGACTGGCAGGGTTGAATCTTGGGCTGATCCTGTTGCTCCAAAGTGCCGCTGCCTCATGTGGGTCCCACTAGGGAACCCTTAGAAAGAAGCAACTTCTGTGCCTCTGTTCCATTTACTTCAGTCTGACCAGATCAGTGACTTTCAGTCTGTGCTCCTGGGAGGCTTCGTGTTCAGTGATACCCTAGGAATTGCTGTGGGCAGAACTGACATTTCCAATGAAGTGGCAAAAATACAAAATGTTGTTAAAAAAAAAACCCTATATCAAATCAGAACTGTAAAAACCACAAAAAAGTAATTCTGATACTTATTTTAAAAGACAGATTATTACCAAGATGAGAAATAGCTTTAACTGTTTGATACTCTACAGTTACCTTGGGTAACTAGAAGTAAGGGACAGGTCAGAATTTGGGGATATTAAATTCTACATTTCTTCACACAGGAAAAAAATATAAAAGCAGATGAAAATGTAGATAAGGTCAATTAATCTACTGTTTAATAATAAACAGAAACTCACAACTGAAGTTTAAATGTCTAACAGAACCAAGTGCATGTAGGGAAATGAGAACTTCCATTTACCACGTGTTATAAGTATAAATTGGTACACTTCTTAGCCATCAGGTAAGAGCTAGTAAAGAAATAAGGTGGATTTGACATGATTCAGCATAGCAATCTCACCTTCAGTATATGACCAGAGGTATGACCGCAGTGCAATAACCACTCAGCTCAAGAACAGCATTGCTGCAATAGCACACAGTGGTTAACAACTGATAATATGGGAATGGTTAAGTTAATTATTGCATATTTATCAAACAGAATACTTTTAAACTATCTGATCCCAAATATAAGATGTGCAAAAAGTAAATGCAAAAGATTATATATATATACACACAAAGTATAGGACCATTTATGTAAAAAATGTTAAACATATGAAACATATTATTACACATGCTCATACATATCATAAAAGGGTAAGAACATAATTGTAAAAACATGCACTAACTTCAGGAGAATTGTACTTGGAGGGAGGGAAGAAGAGAGAAGACATTTATGGAGAATAAGACAGGAAACAGAAAGCTTTGAAAGAATCTGTAGATATAACTTCATTTAATTTAATTTAACAAAGATCTGCAGCAAATTGGCAAAATGGTAAAATGCGTTATATCTAGATAGTGGATTCCTGGATGCCTACAAACTGTGTTATTGCATGTGTGAAATAGTACTTAATTTTTAAGACTGACTTGCACAGTTCATTTTAATAGCAAATATTTTTTCAAGGCTGAACACTCAATCAGCAACTCTATGACAAAATGAATATTTTTACTGCACATGACAAGGTGCTATAATAAAATGAAGTGTACATTAGGATGAAGTGTTCCTGTGAGATTGTGTAAGAGGTAAAGAGCCATTCAGTTCACTGTATAACAAGAGCAACTTGATCCATTAACAAAAGATAGATATATCAACATTTTTATCAACAGTAGACTGAAGTAATTACTCATATAGCTGTAAAGACAGTGAATAAAACTCTTAACATTTATTCTTTTATATTGGAGTGCTCAAAATATTTTGACAATAAGATAAAAAAAGAGAAACTGCCTGAATTCAAAGCTTTATTACTTCAAATCGATTTTCTAAATTTGTAGATTTGGTAACAAAAAGATAAGTAAAATGTTTTTTAATGATTTTGAATACTTTGAAATATCTTTATATTAAAATGAGTACAGATATATTAAGAAGTAGAAAATAAACTTCATATAAATCTTTAAAAATAATTTGCATTAAATTAAAATTAAATGGACATAGAGAAGTGGAAAATTATTGGATAGCTCTATAAATTTTTCTAAAATGGACACAAGCACAACCCACGTTAAGAAATAGAGTATTGCCAAATCCTGGAAACCTTTATTATGATTTTGTCCATCACTACACCCCCTCCAAAAGTAAAAACTATTCTGACATCTAATGCTATGGATTCATTCACGTTGCTTGTTTTCAGCCAAATACTCTGTTCTTCTTTTGTTTAGAATCATATTTGTGAGATTCATCAATGTTTTGCATGTAGCATTAGCTTATTCCTTTCCATTGCTGTGTGGTACTCCATAATAGATCACAAGTTGTCTAGCCATTCTAGTAGTCAAGAGTATTTACATTATTTCTAGCTTTTGGCATTTATGATCAAAACTGCTATGAATACTCTAGTCCATATTTTCTTAGGTACTTACACATGTACTTCTGTTGGGGATGGAGATATATATATATATATATCACATATATATATATACACATCATCTGATATATATATATAATCTGATATATCTGATATATATATATAATCTGATATATCTGATATATATATATAATCTGATATATCTGATATATATATATCAGATGATATATCTGATATATATATCAGATGATTAATCATGTATACAATATGGTCAGCTTCAAAGTTTTCAAAACTAGCTACACCAGTGAGCATAAGTACAAATGAAACAAGGATAGCAAAAACTAAATAAATAAAAAAATAAAAGTTGATGATTGTTGAAGCTGAGTGAGTCATACGTGAGAGTTCATAATACAATTTATTTTCTTTTTATCTGTTCGAAATTTCTTATAAAACAAGGTTTTAAAAGTGATTGCATCAACCTATTTTATAAAAATAGGGGCTCTATTCTTTATATAATGTCATAAAAGACAAAAAAAAAGGTTGTAGAAATGTTCTAGATTAAAGAGGTTAAAGAGACATGACAACTAAATGTAATACTTGATCCTATACTGGATCATGATCTAAAAGAAAAAGTGTTGTGATGGACATTATTAGTTGAATTAACAAAATTAAAAGTTAAACGTATTAAAGGTAAGTTCAAAATTGAAAAGCATTATATCAATGTTAAAGTTTACTGAAGCTGATAACTGCACTATGTTGATGTAAGAAAACAGTCTTACTTTTAGGGAAGACACATTGTAGTATTTTGAGGTCAAGGGCCATGATATATATAACATAATGGTTCAGGGAATTAAAGAAAAATATATAAATAAATATGGGTGTGTGTGTGTGTGTGTGTGTGTGTGTGTGTGTGTGTGTGTGTGTGTGTATGAAGAGAATGGGCAAATAAAGCAAACAGAGTAAAATTTAGCAATTGATTATCTTGGTAAGTATACAGGTATTCTTTATACTGTTTTAACTATTTTCAATTTTTCAACTTTTCTGTAAGTTTAAAATCAATTCCAAATAAAGAGGACTTTTTTAAGAAAAAAGAAATGGTGCTAATTTGTATCCTATCGGCAGAGTATAAGAGATCCTGCTGTTTAATCCTAGTCATAAACTGGTTGTTGTGAATATTTATATTTTAGCCATTCTAGTGGGAATACAATTGTATTGCATTGTAGTTTTGATTTGCCTTTCTCATTTCTCTGAAAACTAATGGTTTTGAGCTCCTTTTTATATGTTATTTGACTATTTGCATATTTTCTTATACAATATAACACTTTGAGACTTTTTGCTATTTTTCTATAGGATTGTCTTTTTCTTATTGATTTGTAAAAGTTCTTTCATATGACTTTGCATAAATTTTAAAGGAAAATAAAGTGGTTTCAAAGAAACTCCAAAATTACAGGGAAAAGGCTTGAGTTATATATCCTTATTCTCTGAGGAATAATTCTCAGAAAAGACTTAGAAATTCTACTTTAGACCAATGGGTAGTACTTTTATCTGTACTCTGATGGGTTTTGTGTGAATCTCACTTGAATGAATCACAGTTCCACCTTTTCTTTCTCACAAAGTTATGAGGCATGATGATGATTAAGATTTCTAGGGAGAAATGAAGGCAGGATTGACAAGAGATGCCAGAAATTGAGTAGACTTCTTCAGCCTGGTTTTGCATTTGCTACTGAAAAATTGTCTAGATGAGATTTACCAACCATTTTTACCCAAGTAAGAAATTTACTTTATATCATAATTGAGCACACACAAATATTACTGAAAAATTCCCAAACCAATGTTAACATTTACCATGTTTTTTAATCATACCCTGATATTTTCTATGTATTCTATTTTAATCCATTTTATTGTCATTGCTGCTGTTTTAGAATCATTAAAGTGATTTCACACAACAGTTCTTTAAAAACCACTACTTTAGAAAATACCTCTCAAATTTTATTATATGTATGAGTTATCTAGTGTTCTCATTGAAGTGCAGATTCTGTTTTCATAATTTGGGATGAACAATTTTTAATTATTACTATTTTTTTCTTTTTTCTTTTTTTTTTTTTTTTTGATGGAGTTTTGCTCTGTCGCTCAGGCTGGAGTGCAGTGGCATGATCTTGGCTCACTGCAACCTCCGCCTCCTGGATTTAAGCGATTATCCTGCCTCAGCCTCCTGAGTAGCTGGGATTATAAGCACCTGCCACCACACCCAGCTAATTTTTTTGTATTTTCAGTAGACACAGAGTTTCACCATATTGGTCAGGCTGGTCTCGAACTCTTGACCTCGTGATCTGCCTGCCTCAGCCTCCCAAAGTGCTGGGATTACAGGCATGAACCACCATGCCTGGTCTAATTATTACTATTATTATTAATACCATCATCACCATCGCCACTCAGCACACACAGGAATTGAATGTATGTATGAGTAATTTAGGGTCTCTGAAATGATCATTTTCACAGTCTTTGTGTCTATGCCTCTTCTTCTCCCCCATTCCTCCCATGCATGGCATCCCCACAGTCCTGCTCTTTCTTCTGCTCCTTGCTGTGCCTACATAGCCTGGAGCCAACCATTCACCCACTCCTAGAGTTTATCTGGCTTGCCAAAGAAGTAGTAAAGAATAATCTTTACAGTTGGCCTTGGTCTCCTGGTACTCTAGAGCAGTGCCTGTCCATCTTCAGCGTGAATAATGTTAAAAGGCAGATTCCAACTCATGGGTCTGGCATAAGGCAAGATCTGCATCTCTAACAAGTTCCCAGAGGCTGATCCATGGCTTCCATTTTGAGTAACAAAACTCTAGAAGGCAATAAAGAAGATAGTCAAGACTTTCAAATTCAAGTATTAGTAAGAAGGAAACGGCTAAACACTGTCTTAAGCTCTAAGGCTTCTGTAACGCTTTCTCCAACAGAGAAAGATTTCTAAGCAGTTAGTGAACAGAATCACTGAGAATGGCTGGTGGGATTCTGATGACAAAGGAAGGTAAATAAAGCCTAAAGCAGGTGATGAACTGAGAAAATGAAGAAGCACCAAAACATTGAGGTCCTGAGGTGAGGCATATGGAAGGCACATTCTGCAAGAAAGAGGGGAGGAGTGGTGAAGATGATTGTGGTCACAAAAGCCATGTAAAAACCCATGACGCTAGGGAAGGAAACTTTCTGAGGAACGGCGGGATTCCAACTAGGAAACGACAGTGCTATTTTGGAGTTGAAGAAGTAAAAAGGCTGTGAAGTCAACAATACTGAAGTCATAAAGAATAATGTCAAGGCCAATGGGCTGAGGCCATTGAAGATACGGAGAAATGGCTCTGGAGTTTAGAAAACAATCTTTTTTTTTTTTATACTTTAGGTTTTAGGGTACATGTGCACAACATGCAGGTTAGTTACATATGTATACATGTGCCATGTTGGTGTGCTGCACCCATTAACACGTCGTATACATTAGGTATATCTCCTAATGCTATCCCTCCCCCATCCCCCACCCCACAACAGGCCTCAGTGTGTGATGTTCCCCTTCCTGTGTCCATGTGTTCTCATTGTTCAATTCCCACCTATGAGTGAGAACATGTGGTGTTTGGTTTTTTGTCCTTGCAATAGTTTGCTGAGAATGATGGTTTCCAGCTTCATCCATGTCCCTACAAAGGACATGAACTCATCCTTTTTTATGGCTGCATAGTATTCCATTGGTATATACGTGCCACATTTTCTTAATCCAGTCTATCATTATTGGACATTTGGGTTGGTTCCAAGTCTTTGCTATTGTGAATAGTGCTGCAATAAACATACGTGTGCATGTGTCTTTATAGCAGCAACATTTATAATCCTTTGGGTATATACCCAGTAATTGGATGGCTGGGTCAAATGGTATTTCTAGTTCTAGATCCCTGAGGAATCGCCACACTGACTTCCACAATGGTTGAACTAGTTTACCGTCCCACCAACAGTGTAAATGTGTTCCTTTTTCTCCACATCCTCTCCAGCACCTGTTGTTTCCTGACTTTTTAATGATTGCCATTCTAACTGGTATGAGATGGTATGTCATTGTGGTTTTGATTTGCATTTCTCTGATGACCAGTGATGCTGAGCATTGACAAGGATGAGGAAAGGCTGGCCTGGACAAAGAGCAGAGGCTTCTAAAGGAGAGTGAAAGTGGCACACCAGGGCGCTGCTGGCATAGGTGACTCTTTTGCACAAATAGGTGAAGAGAGCCCTATAGAATTTCAGCCTGTGCTTGCTCCCTCATCTGTGAATCATGGGGCTGTACACACAGTGCACAAACACAGCCATAGCATAAGCAAAGTCAGCCCTTCCTCCAGGAGAAGTTAAAGGAATTGGGAGAAAGTTTGGTGTCTGCTGCATAATACTTTGAAAGAAATGGCATTGACGTAAAATGCCAGTTAAAGTAAGGAAATACGGAAAGAAAAAGTGTTAATAGGACATGCCATTTATGACATGGAAAAAGAAAAAGCATGTATGAAACAGATTAAAGCAGAAAATGACACAAAAAAATGTTGAATTCATATGTAAGAAAGTGTTCCACAGGCCACAGAGAAAGGAATTATTAAAGGTTAGGTGTCTCAGAAGGTTCCTCACTAAGCTGCTTATGGTAATAATAAGAGATTACAATGAGCCAGGTACTGTTTGCAGATGGAAAGGGTTGCTGAAATTATCAATCATATAAAATCATGAATATGTATTTGCTAATCAGCTTATGAAATATGAAACACCTATGAAATGGTTCCATTCAGAAACGATTTATGTTTCTGTCATTAAAATATAAAATACATTCACATATATTAATGCAAAATTAAAATTAAAAACATTTACATTGATTATTTGAGTACTAAAAATCACATAATTAGAATAATTATTCTTGGTGCATAACTATATAATTGAATCTATGTTTATATCTCTTTCTAATGCATATTAGAGGTACTTTCTAAAGAATGTATTTTTACATATCTTGTTTCTTCACAGAACTGACTGCAATCTTCAAAATTACATTTTAAGGTTTCTAATTTTGAAATTGTTGACATTCGCAACTAACTCTTCTCTCTAGATCACACCATTTTTGACAAAATATTCTTTCTACAGTTACAAAAATATCTGAATAGATAAGAACAGACTGCTAAGTGGAGGATATTCTCAATTGTAATTTTTTTCATATTGGAATTTGTAAATACTTTCATCCAGATATTTTTACTGTTACTGCCTGGTGCCTCCCTTCAAACTATGCTTTGTCAGCAACTATTTCTGAAAGACAAATCTCATCAAATACCTTGTTTTGCTATATGATTCTTTTGAAAATCATAGAACTTCCTTCTTAATGTTGTTATATTCTGAAACAGAATATAAATGTATCAAATTTAAAACAGGAACATCATCAAATGATTCTTCCCAGAAAACAAGATAGTTCAAAGTGCAATCACAGGTTTTCAAAATTAAATCTTACATACAATTTGAGCTTTCCATAAGAAAGAATGAGATCATGTCCTTTGCAGGGCCATGGATGGAGCTGGAGGCCATTATCCTTAGCAAACTAATGCAGGAACAGAAAACCAATACTGCATGTTTTCACTTATAAATGAAAGCTAAATCATGAGAACACATGGACACATAGTGAGGAACTACACACAACTGGGGCATATCAGAGGGTGGAGAGTGGGAAGAGAGAAAGAATCAGGAAAAATAACTAATGGTAACTAGGCTTAATACCTCATTGATGAAATAATCTGTACAAAAACAAAGAGACAAGTTTACCTACGGAACAAACCTGCATACGTACCCCTGAACTTAAAATATAAATTTAAAAAATTTTTGAGCTTTCAAATTTTAATTTATTCTGTTTATTCCATGCTTTTATAAGAACAAATTTCAATGCCTATATTCATGCTTTGCTTTCAATAATTACAATTTTCTAAAAGCTTCAGTTTTTTGGGTTTCCAATTTTTGAATACTTTGATTAAACGTTTCCAACTGATTTTAAATAAAACTGCAACCAAATGACTCATGTACAAAGGAATTGAATGCCATTGTAGGACACTCAGGTTTATTTACAAGTGAGTCCTCCAGTGCCTCAGATATTTTTGGATGCAGTTGAAGCTGGGCAACAAAAGGAAGACTGTGATACTGGAGGGTTGTTTTACTTTTTTAAATTTAATGTCAGTTCTATCATAAAGGTTTTTCAGTTCAGTTTTTCTCTGTGTGTTTATGCGTGTGTGTACCTATAAAATTTGATAACTGGATCATCTATTTTTATTGTTAGTATATTCTAGTTTCTTGGGACTCAGTTATGGGCACATGAATTATTTTTACACCACAACCTGTTTCAAATACATTTCTGCTCCATAAATCTCTTAATTTTGTAAGAACATTGTTGTCACGATGACATGGCTCTGCCAAATTTGTAATCACTTTGAAAACAAATAACTTTACCATCAACGCTGAACTTTCAAACTGAATTTACATTAACATTCACAATAAGGGCAAGCTTTATTTAATTCAATGCTGTCATTAAACTGTTATTGGAATGAACATAAAGATGTATTTGAAGCATCTGTGTTAGGCAGAATATTGAGCCTTTAAAGATGTTTACATCCTAATCCTCAGAACCTATGCACGTTACTTTACTTGGCAAAGGGATTTTGAAGATGTGATTAAGAATCTTGAGGTGGAGGGATTATCCTGAATTATCCAGTGAACCCAAACACCAGGATCATTACAAGAGGGAAGCAAGAGGGTCAATGTCAGCAAAAGGATACACGACAACGGAAGCTCAGGTTAAAGTGATGGTCTTTGATAGGGTCACAAGCCAATGAGTGCAGGGTGCCTCCAGAAACAGTGAAAAGGCAAAAAAACAGATTTTTTCCATGGAACTTTAAGAAAAATACAGACCTGCTGACACTTTGATTTTAATCTGTTAGATTCGTTTCAGACTTTTGATCTCCAGGACTATAAAATAATACATTTATGTTGTTATGTAGTAATTTGTTACAGCAGCAATAGGAAACTAATACAGCATCTAGTGATACTGACATAAAATCAGAATCATTTGAATGTTTGCAAAGTTTATCTTTTGCCAGAAGGGACAGTGTTTTGAAGATTTTACCTAATTTTTCTTATGTGCACAAGGAAACTTAAAAATAAGTGAGGCTGGCGCAGTGCCTCACGCCTGTAATCCCAGCATGTGGGGAGGCTGGAGTGGGTGGATCTCTTGAGGCTAGGAGTTCGAGACCAGCCTGGCCAACATGGTGAAACCCCATCTCTACTAAAAATACAAAAATTAGCCGGGCATGGTGGTCCCAGCTACTCGGGTGGCTGAGGCAGGAAGAATCACTTGAACCCAGGAGGTAAAAGTTGCAGTGACCCAGGATCTTGCCACTGCACTCTAGCCTGGGTGACAGAGCAAGACTCTCTCTTAAAAAATAATAATAAATAAATAAAAATAAAAATGAATGAAATTAATTTAAAATAAGACACTAGATCTAAATGAAAACTGCTTCACAGTAATATAAAAACACATCTTTTGTAGCTTTAGCATGTGCTTCTTTAGCACGTGCTAAATCATCATCTTAATGAACAGTCTTCTTAAAATAACTATCAACTTTTGAAGTGGAGAATTCAACTGCCTATTTTTGAATCTTCAGCAGATTTGGGTCTCCTCGTTGCCATGTAGCTAGTGATTTCAATACATCCACAGTAAATAGTAAATACTAATGAATGCTGTATGCAAGTTACACATTCATTATCAAATTTTTAGAAATCCGCCAGTTAATTTTTTTTACCTTTTTGCTACAGAAAGAATTCATTGCAAAAAAAAAGTTTGTGCCAAAACATAAAATAAATAAGCAGGTGTACATTTCTACTATGATAAATGACAAAACTACACTGAGAGCATCCAGCCTTTCTTGATAAACTCAAACTAGAAAGATTTCTCAGCTTCTGTTTTCCACACAAAATAGTTAAGATAAACCTACTCCATAATAATTCACATTTCCCCCACTCATCTCACCGATTAAATTCCTTGTAGCCTCAAACATTTTGAAGATATTAATATAAACATAGAGCTAGGCTCAAGTGGCTGCCAACAAATATATTGGTAGGGACATTAGTGCTGAATATTTCTCCTACAGCCACTCCACATCAGGAGCTACATGTGCCTAGACCACATTCCCCTGTGCACTTTGTTTTACAGTCAAAGCCTAATATGCTGTCCTTGAAAGGTAGACATTACATTAGTTAAATTATATCTGGAAAGAGTCAGGAAAAAAAAGCAGGATTATCCCTGGTGAACTCCAAATTTAGTCTCAATGAACACAGGAAGAGACCATGACCACAGCTGCAAATCAAAGGGAGGTTTACCAAATCCATCGTGGCTTATATAATATCTCACTTTAAAAAGAAAAGAAAAGAAAAGAAAAAGAAATCTGGAGCTAAATTAGCCATTCAAGACCTATGATCATCCTATTTGTATTTATTATTTCATGGAATTCACAGAACAGTCATACTAAATTGAGTCTACCCATCTTTGGGTAAGGAAACCGAGATCTCACAGCTATAATAGGGGGAAGCAGGATTTGAATCAAGGCTGTACAGCTGCAAGACTAGTGTTCCCACCCACCATTCTGAATGCCTCAGTATCTGACAAAGCTCCCAGAATTTGAACCCTAGATGTCCAGCTCCAGGGCTAGTGCTCCTACCCATCCTTGGTGCTAGTTTTTAAGAATCATTCTTCCCGAGCTCCTTCCTGACCCTTCTCTCCCAACCAAGAGTCTTCCAGCCTGTGGTGTACTCTTTGCTTTCAAGCCTTTAACTTGCCTCTCCTTGGTGGATAGATTTTGGATTTTTGTCCCCATAGCCCTTCAATCTAAATACAACTTGCTTTTAAACCCCAATTTCTTTAAAAGGGCATGATGTCCGATGGTGCTAGTTTTTCCATTTTTATTTACTTAATTTTTTATTTAACTGGGGAACAATTTTGTCTTTCCTGACGTGGATATCACAGATCAGTCTTCTGGTGGCTTACTTGGGATCACTACCTGGTCTCTAAATAACTGGAAGAGTAGCTGCAACAATGTCAGTACAGCTTGCCTCCAAAAACTACCTCAAGTATCGAATACACAACAAATAAAAACTCAAAAGTGAGCAAAGCTAACCAGAAATACATTCTGGTAATACACGTAAAAATTTGGACAATAACAGCTTGTGGGAGGGAGGATATGACTAAATCTTTTGATTTCAAACAAATAACAATCACCATGAATCTAGCATTTTATTCAAAGAGCATAGAAGAGGGAAGTCATCAATGTTTGTACTTTACCACATCCATCTCTACTGTGTACCTTTCTGGGTGTGTGTTATTGCATGTGCACTTGAGCACCAATTGCTGATATCTGTTAAATGTATTAATTACTCCTGCAACCATATATACCACACCTTACTTTGCACAGTTGACTCGAGCAACATGGGTTTGAATTGTGCAGGTCTGCTTAAATGCAGATTCTTTTTTTTCAATAAATACAGTGGGCCCTCCACATCTGCAGGTTCCTCATTCTCAACCAAACGCAGATCAAAAACAGTATTCCTGGGATGCAAAACCCGTGGACACGAGGGTCAACTT